>NC_000017.11:5491111-5642626 GCF_000001405.40 Homo sapiens
CAGAGGGAGATTTCAGACAGAAAAGGAGGAGGTATTAGGACCTAAAAGCAGGTTGGGGCCGGGCATGGTGGCTCACACCTGTAATCCCAGCACTTTGGGAGGCCTAGGTGGGCAGATCACTTGAGGTCAGGTGTTCAAGACCAGCCTAGCCAGCATGGTGAAAACCTGTCTCTACTAAAAATATAAAAAATTAGCCAGGTGTGGTGGCACATGCCTGTAATCCTAGCTACTCGGGAGGCTGAGGCAGGAGAATCGCTTGAACCCGGGAGGCGGAGGTTGCAGTGAGCAGAGATCGTGCTACTGCACTCCAGCCCGGTGACAGAGCAAGACTCCATCTCAGAAAAAAAAAAAAAAAAAAAAAGTTTGGAGTAATGCAGCCCCCACAAGCTGGAAGAGGCAAAGAAGAGATTCTGCCTTAGAGCCAACAGGTGGATTGCATTTCTGGCTTCCAGAACTGTGAGAGAATATGTTTTAAGTCATCAGTTTGTTACAGCAGTCACAGGAAACAATATACCTATTAGTAGGCATGTTAGTGAAATCAGAATATTGAGATGTTCATGAGGATATAAGCTATCTATTAAGGAAACTACTGCTGAGGCCTTGACATTATTATATGCAGTAATATGGTTCATCTTAATACAGTTAAGTATGGTCATGACCTGGATAGAAGGGTGAAATCCAGTGTTTGAACTCGGGTCCATTTTGTGTTGAGTACATGCTTAATAATTGCTGGACATTACTGTTGCTGTTTGTTATGGTGGTGTCTCTGCAGAAATAATATAGTTGACCCTATCATCCTCTAAAAAGTAAATTCTCCCTTCAGAAATTTATGACTAAATCAGAATTATATACAGTTGTTTACCCATTCTCTGCTTCCCTGGAATGCAAGGTTGTTTTAACGTGTGAAAATGCATCAATAGAACAGAATAAATAGAACCACTATAGAATAAAGGATAAAATTGTCCCATCTCCCATCCAGCATCAATCTCACCCAATTTCTCACTTTCCCCCCCACCCCAATATGAGATCCCATTGTTCTGTAATACCAAACCTTCCCTGGTTTTATTTATTCTCTACTGTCATGCCTATTCACCATTACATAATGGATGTAAATGCAAAAAAAAAAAAATTCTTAACATAGCTGGGTGCAGTGGCTCATGCCTGTAATGCCAGCACTTTGGGAGGCTGAGGCAGGCAGGTCGCCTGAGCTCAGGGGTTCAAGACTAGCCTGGGCAACATGATGAAACCCTATCTCTACTAAAATACAAACATTAACCAGGTGTGGTGGCACGCTCCTGTAATCCCAGCTACTTGGGAGGCTGAGGAACAAGAATTGCTTGAACCCGGGAGGTGGAGGTTACAGTGAGCCGAGATTGCACCACTCCACTCCATCGTGGGTGATAAGAGTGAGACTGTCTCAAAAAGCAAAAAACAAACAAAAATTAGCCAGGTGTGCTGGCGTGCACCTGCAATCCCAGCTACTCAGGAGGCTAAGGCACGAGAATCACTTGAACCCGGGAGGCAGAGGTTTCAATATGAGACGAGGTCCTGCTGCCGCACTCTAACCTGGACAACAGACTGAGACTCTGTAAAAACAAACAAACAAACAAACAAACAAAGCCAGGCATGGTGGCTCACGCCTGTAATCCCAGCACTTTGGGAGACTTGATGTGGGAGGATTGTTTGAGCACAGGAGTTCAAGACCAGCCTAGGCAACATAGTGAGACCCCATCTCTACAAACACTAGAAAAAATCAGCCAGGCATGGTGGTGCATGCCTGTAGTCCCAGAGACCTGGGAGGCTGAGGTGGGAGGCTAGCTCAAGCCAGGGAAGTTGAGGCTGCAGTGAGCCATGGTTATGAACACTGCACTCCAGCCTGGGTGACGGAGTGAGACCCTGTCTCAAAAAAAAAAAAAAAAATACTCAACAAAATATAAGTAAATCAAATCCAGTAGTATATAAAAAGGATTATACACGATGACCAAGTGGGATTTATCCCAGGAATGTAAGGTTGGTTTAACTGCTGAAAATGAATTAATGAAATACACCACCTCAATAGAATAAAGAACAAAAACCCTATGATCACCTCAATGGACACATAAAAACATTTGACAAAATTCAACACCCCTCCATGCCAAAAACACTCAACAAACTAGGAACAGAAGGGAATTTCCTCAACCTGATAAAGGACATCTATGAAAAACTCACAGCTAACATCACACTTAATGGTGAAATACTGAATATCAGGAAAGAAAGCAAAGGAGGCCCACTTTCAGCATCCTATTCAGCATTTGCTGAAGATCTTACCCAGGAAAGTTTCCCAAGAAAGAGAAATAAAAGGAATCCAGATTGGAAAGACAGATCGTATCTGCAGATGATATAATCTTGTAGAAGACCATTCTGTTGTCATCTTAAACTATTAGAACTAATAGTTATGATTATTAGAACAAATAAATGAGTTTCAGCAAGGATTCAGAATATAATATCAATGTAAGAAAAGCTATTATTTTTCTTTTTTTGAGATAAGGTCCCGCCCTGTTGCCCTGGCTGGAGTTCAGTGGCAAGATCTCAGCTCACTGCAGCCTCAACCACCCGGGCTCAAGTGATCCTCCCACTTCAGCCTCCAGAGTAGCTGAGACCACAAAGAGCTTGCCACCATGCCCGACTAATTTTTTAAATTATTAGTAGAGATGAGGTCTTGCTATGTTGCCCAGGCTGGTCTCAAACTCCCAGGCTCAAGTGATCCTCCTGCCTCAGTCTCCCAAAGTGCTGGGATTACAGGCACGAGCCACTGTACCAAGCCTCAATTATTTTTCTATGCACTAGCAATGAGCAAACAGGAAATCAAATTGAGAAATCAATTCCATTTTGAAGACACCAAAAATAAAATCCTTTGAAGAAATTTAACAGAAAATGTAGAAAACTCATTGTATTAGTCTGTTTTCATGATGCTAATAAAGACACAATCCTTATCAAAATTCTAATTGACTTCTTTGTAGAAATTGGCAAGCTGATCCTGAAATGTATATAGAAATTCAAAACACCTAGACTAGCAAAAGCAATTTCGACAAAGAATAACAAAGTTGGAGAACTCATACTTTCCAATTTCAAAATTTACTGCAAAGCTATAGTTATCAGGACTGTGTGTTAATGGAATAAAGATAGACATATAGATAAATAGAGGTAAGAATCCAGGCCAGGCGAGATAGCTCATGCCTGTAATCCTGGCACTTTGAGAGTTCAAGGCAGGTGGATCACTTGAGGTCAGGAGTTCAAGACCAGCCTGGCCAACATAGCGAAACCCTGTCTCTAATAAAAAAAAAAAATACAAAAATTAGCTAGACATGGTGGCGCAAACCTTTAATCCCAGCTACTTGGGAAGCTGAGGCAGGAGAATCACTTGAAGCTGGGAGGTGGAGGTTGCAGTGGGCCGAGATCATGCCACTGCACTCCAGCCTGGGGGACAGAGTGAGACTCCATCTCAAAAAAAAAAAAAAAAAAAAAAAAAAAAAGAGAATCCAGAAATTAACCCTCACACACACACAAATATTTTTAAAAAACAACAAAAACCAGAAATTAACCCTCACATTTACAGTCAAATGATTTGGATAAGGGTGCTGGGATAATTCAATGGGGGAAGAAGAGTCTTCTCAACAGACAGTGTTGGGATAACTGGACGCCCTCATACAAAAGAATGAAGTTGGATCCTACTGCACACCATGTACAAATATGAACTTAAAATGGATCAAAGACCTACATTTAAGAGCTAAAACTATAAAACTCTTAGAAGAAAACATGTATTAGGTTTAAATCTTCATAATCTTTGTGGGTCAGTAGTTTCTTAGCTATGCCACCAAAAACATAAGCAACAAAGGAAAAATAGATGAACTGGATATCATCAAAATTTAAAACTTTTGTGTTTCAAAGACACCATCACAAATGTGAAAAGACAACTCACAGAATGGGATAATAAATTGTAAATCATTTAATAATGGACTTGTATCTAAAATATATAAAGAACCCTTAGACGCCAGGCGCGGTGGCTCACGCCTGTAATCCCAGCACTTTGGGAGACGGAGGTGGGCAGATTGCCTGAGCTCAGGAGTTCAAGACCAGCCTGGGCAACACGGTGAAACTCCGTTTCTACTAAAATACAAGAAATTAGTCAGGCATGGCAGCGTGCACCTGTCATCCCAGCTACTGGGGAGGCTGAAGCAGGAGAATTGCTTGAACCCAGGAGGCGGAGGTTGCAGTTTATGGTGCCACTGCACTCCAGCCTGGGCAATAGAGCGAGACTCTGTCTCAAAAAACAAACAAACAAACAAACCATCTCTACAAAAAATACAAAAATCAGCTGGGCATTGTGGCGTTCACCTGTAGTTCCAGCTACTTAGGAGGCTGAGGTGGGAGAATCGTGTGAGCCCAGGAGGTGAAGGTGGCAGTGAACCAAGATTGGGTCACTGCACTCCAGCCTGAGTGACAGAGCCAGACCCAGTCTCAAAAAAAACAAACAAAAGAAACAAAAAATGTCCCAATATCAATTGTAATGGTTGCACAACTCTGAGTATACTAAAAGCCATTGAATTGTACCCTTTAAATGAGTGAGTTATGAGTTATATGAATTATGTCTTAATATAGCTGGTAAAAATAAGAATACACACTCCAGAAACAATGCCTGGGTTCAAAATCTTGCTCCATTGCTGTGACCTTGGGCAAATCATTTCACCTATGCCTGTTTCCTCATCTGCCAAATGGGAAGAATAATAGAACCTACCTCATAGGGTTGTGAGAATTCAATGAACTCACACTAAATAAAACACTAAGCCGCCACATGTTTAAATTCTATCATTAACAAAGTGAGCTCCATGAAGGCAAGGGTTGTCTCTGTTTTGCTGATAATTATCTCCAGTGCTTGGACTCTAACAAGCAATGACATAGTTAAAAAATTAATCTGGCCAGCCACGGTGGCTAACGCCTGTAATCCCAGCACTTTAGGAGGCCGAGGAAGGCAGATCACCTGAGGTCAGGAGTTCGAGACCAGCCTGACCAACATGGAGAAACCCCATCTCTACTAAAAAAATACAATATTAGCTGGGCATGGTGGTGCATACCTGTAATCCCAGCTACTCCGGAGGCTGAGGCAGGAGAATTGCTTGAACCTGGGAGGCGGAGGTGGAGGTTGTGGTGAGCCAAGATTGTACCTTTGCACTCCAGCCTGGGCAACAGAGCGAGACTGTCTCAAAAAAAAAAAAAAAAAATCAATTTTCCCAGTATCAGTTTCTACTGTTTCAAATAGCTAAATTTCAACTGTTTCTCAACAACTTAAACTTACTACTGTTCCATGATATTCAGAACCACTGCTTACTTCACTGTCTCCATATATTTACCTACCACTGACAACCCAAATTGCCCGAAACAGTTGGCTTTACCTTCATCCTTTGTGACTTACCGAAAGTCAGTTTACTGGATATCTGATATTTTCACCTGCCTAGCATCCATGGCTCTTCAGTTTTCCTCTGGGAACTATTCCTTTCCTATTGCATGCTATTTTCACAGGATTGCCTATTAAGATAACTCTTCTGCCTTTTAGCCAAAGATGGGCATGTGACCCCAGCCAGGCTAATAAGACTCTAGAATTCGATTCTTGAGCAGCACAGCACAAGGACCCCAAAAATGGGTCCTTGTTTGTTTGTTTTTTCCTTTTGTTTTATTTGGAGATGGGGTCTCTGCCATGTTGCCTAGCTGGTTTCAAATGTCTGGCCTCAAGGGATCCTCCTGCATCAGTCTCTCAAGTAGCTGGGACTACAGGTGTGCATCACTGCACCTGGCTTGGGGGCCCATTTGTTTTTATGGTCTAAAAGGCTGTCCGTGTATACTAAGCAGACAGGGAAAGGCTTGATATTTTGGACAAAGGAAACTCTTACTGGACTCCCAGAAATTGGAGGACAGTTGCAAGCTCAATATAGGTAAGCAGTAACTGTGAAATTAGGTGGGCAGTAGGGAGATATGTCATCACATATTCCTGGGATACGTAAACTATAACTCAAACTATATAAGAGGAAAATTGGCCACCTTAGATGCATGATGATACTAAAAGTACACGCTTATTGTGTGTACACATTGAAGTGTACAGATTAAGTGTACACTTAATACTTAGGATTAATACTTAGGATTAAGTGTACACTTAATACTTAGTGAGGATTAAGTGGTATCTCATTGTGTAGATGGCGTGAGAGTAATGGAAATTTAATATTGATTAGAAAATACAGGCCAGGTACTGGAGCTCTATGGAACCAGGAATTTGAAGGAGAGTGAAATCGGGAGAAGTATGGGGAAGAGAGATGGGCTGATAGGAGAGAATATGGGGGTATGGGAAGAAAATGAATTTGGGGGCTGGAGTGAGTTTAATATTGGAGACAGCAGTGATGGGGTGAGTGTCAAGGAAGACTGGAGTACAATATTGAGACAATAATCAAGTATTTGGGGAACAACGCAATAAATACTGAAATAAGGGGATCAAATGGGGCTGGATATTTAGGAGAATATTGAAGCCAATATTAATATTGTAGAGGCAATAAGATCTAATAACAGTATAGTCATGGGAACCAGGTGTTGGAATCTGGGGTAGAAAATGGAGGCCCAGACCAGGCACAGTGGCTGACACCCGTAATCCCAGCACTTTAGGAGGCTGAGGCGGGTGGATCACTTGAGGTCAGGAGTTCAAGACCAGCCTGGCCAACATGGTGAAACCCCGTCTCTACTAAAAATACAAAAAAATTATCCGGGTGTGGTGGCACACGCCTGTAATCCCAGCTACTTGGGAGGCTGAGGCAGGAGAGTTGTTTGAACCCAGTGGCAAAGGTTGCAGTGAGCCAAGATCAGGCTACTGCATTCCAGCCTGGGGCACAGAGTGAGTCTCAGTCTAAAAAAAAAAAATTAGCTGGGCATGGTGGCACGCACCTGGAGTCCCAGCTAGTTGGGAGGCTGAGGCACGAGAATTGTTCGAACCTGGGAGGCGGAGGTTGAGGTGAGCTGAGATCATGCCACTGCACGAAAAAAAAAAGAAAAAAAAAAAAAAGAGAAAATGGAGGCCCAGATTTTGTGGCACAAAAAGGGCCATGATATTGTGGAACAGTGACTGAATATTGAGGAACAGGGACCTTTGGTTTTGGGAACAGGAGGAGGAGTCTACTATCAGGAGATTGACGGAGGAAAGGAAGCTGGGGGATCACATACTGAGTAGTCACTAAGGGACTGTATGAGAGAGAACAGGGCATGTATGAAAGGGAAACAATGAGATCAAATGTTTGGAGAGCGCTAGGCTATATATTGGGAGTCCGTGAGTACTCAATACTAAGCGATAGCAGAAGATCGAATATCCACGATTGAAAGGTGGAAACCAGTGAGGGATAAATATTGTGGTCCTTTGGAGACATTTTTTTTTTTTTGATACGGAGTCTCGCTTTGTCGCCCAGGCTGGGGTGCAGTGGCGCGATCTCGGCTCACTGCAAGCTCCGCCTCCCGGGTTCATGCCATTCTCCTGCCTCAGCCTCCCGAGTAGCTGGGACTACAGGCGCCCACCACCACGCCCAGCTAATTTTTTTTTTTTGTATTTTTAGTAGAGACGGGGTTTCATCATGTTAGCCAGGATGGTCTCAATCTCCTGACCTCGTGATCCATCCGCCTCGGTCTCCCAAAGTGCTGGGATTACAGGCGTGAGCCAACGAGCCCGGCCTGGAGACCTAATTTTGGGAAATAGTGCCACCGATTGCTGTGGGGGAATTGTTGTAGTAAAGTGTGATTGTAAAGCACAGGCTGACATTGGGGAACCGTGGATGTCATACTTGTGGCACCGAAACAAGTGTCCGGGGGCAAGATATCAAGGCACAGAGTGATATGGGATTATGGGAAGTCAGAACTGAGAAATGGCAAGGCCCTGATATTGGAAAACAGGGCGTTTGTAAAGACCCAGGGGGAAAATTCCAGAGCTTAGCTGGGGGGCCGTACTCGGTCTTCAAAATGGAGGCAAGTGGAAACGAAATACTGAGGGGCAGTAGGTAATGCCACAATGGGATAGTGGCTGATCTGCCATAAGGGATGGTAGACTCGGATACTGGCATGTTGTGAGGACCTGACGTGGAGAAAGATGCCATTGAAGGGCCTTGTAGCTATTTAGTGGAGGGAGAGGCTATATTTTGGAATGCTGGGTCACAGGATTAAGTCTGTTTTGGAGGGACAGTGGGGATGCTGTGGAGCAGACTAGGAAGTTTGGCAGAAGAAGTTAGAAGAGTTGGAAATTAATGGAGAACTGAATATAGAGGAGACTGAAAAAGATAATTTATTCCATCAGAGGCATCACAATTACAGATTACAGACATTTGCAAGTAAATAATATGCAGGGTTAGAGCGCTGCGTTTTAACATTTAACATTCATGAGTAAACAGAGATGGCCGGTGGGTAAATATCTTGCCAAGGTGGTTCCTGGTATTAAGCCTTTTGAGTCTTAAGATGACAAATCCCTAGGGATCAGGTGGTTTTCCCGCACGAACTCTTGTCAATGAGAAATCCCTCAGCCCCTTTTGTCTTGGGTCTCACAGCTCCAGAAGTGAGCCGGGCCAGAACGAAGCCATCCTAGAGTCCCCAAGGACAGCCCTCCCGTGGACCCCGGCTAGGGCCCCCAGAGTCTCATCCTCAGGAGTGCGCCAGCTCTGGGCCTGCGTGCCGGCGGGGTCTGCAGCCACAGGTCCCGCGAGTCCCGGACACTTCCAGGACGTGGTCTCCTGGTGAGACAGCTCCTCCGGGTACCAGTCTCGACTCCTCCGGGCAGCGACAACAAAGTCTAAGGCAGGAAAAACACACAGTCGTGGTCAGCCGGAGCCCCTGGGGGCGCAGCACGACACCCCGACGAACGCCACTTACCGAGTCCCGCCCTCCAGCTTCGCCTGCTGCGCGCTCTTGTCCTCTCTCGGCCGCGCCAACTCTGGGGCACAGCTGGCTCCTCCTGGGGGCGATGCAGCATCACAGGGCTCCGGCCCACCCCGGGCCAGGGCGCCGACCCTCCCTGCCGGACCCTCTCTAGAAGGCCGCGGGTCTGGGTCTGGCTCATCCCTTAAAGATTCCAAGATTGGGCGCACTCTGAGCTCCCCAAACACAAAATGATGGGATCCCTGCGCGTGCCCCCACGTCACAGAGTGGTAGGGGTCCAGGGGCATTCTAATTATAAACGGGGCTCAATCACACCCCAAAATTCTAAACGCCTCCACCCCTAACCTGCAGGTGCAAACAGCACCCCTATTTCATTGCCGGCAGCTACTTTGTACTTTCGTACTGATAGACAAAGATAGTGACAACAAAGACGGAAAGAAACAAGCATCGAAAGCTACATGAAGGGGGTGCAGCGCTGTTCTAAAACACAAAATGCCGAGCCCCGTTTTCCCTTTCCCTCCCCGCTCGGTCCTGCGCCCACCCCGTCCCGCGCTGGCCACTCAGGCAAGCTGTAAATGGATATAGGTAAAGATGCAGGAGGTGATGGAGAAGGCGATGGCTGCGTAGATGAAGATGGAGAGGTGCGGAAAATGGTCGAGATAGCAGCCCTCGTCCAGTGGAGGCGCCTCCTTCTTGGGCGGGGGGCGCGATGCGGCCTTCGGGGGCTGCCCGGCGCGGCCCCCCTGCGCCCTCCCGCCCGCGCGCCGACCAGCCTTCTTGCCCGCGGCCGACGCCGACCTGGGCCCGCGGGCAGCGGGAGGGTCTTCCGGGGGAGGCTTGTCAAACAGGCCTTCGGACTCGGGGTCCGGGCGAATCTGCTCGAGACCCCAGGGTCTGCGCCGAAAGAGCCCGTCAGCCATGGGCAGGATCGCGGGTAGGTGGGTCAGCCGGGTCTGGGTCAGAGCGCAGTGGGCGGTGGGCGGGGCTACGGCTGTATTTCTAGCGACCCGGGTGGGGGCGGAGCCAGAGGGGCAGGGGGCCTCTGCAGGGTCCGCCGGTCCTCTCAGCTGAGGCGCCGCTTCGCCTGGCTCCTCCTTCCGCCCCCAGCCTGTTGCAGAGGCTGGCTCGCCGGGTTCCAGCTCCGCTGCCTGCGGCTCGGCAGTCTCTGCGCAGCAAGGTTTGTCTCCATGGCAACCAGACTGGCGGCGCAAGGGGGAGGAAACGCGAGCCGCTGGCTGGGACCCCGGGGCACTAGTAGGCTTGGCACCTAAGAAGCCGAAATGCAACCAGCCAGGCTCTCAGCTGCGTGGGGAGCTTCCCCAGGGCATATTTCTCCTTTTAAAAGAAATATTTATTGTGTGGTCTGTTTTAAATTTTAATCTTAATGCGTGAAAAAGCTAACACATCATCTTTGTAGAAAACTAGAAATTGAGAAAACAGTGTAGGCAAAATCAGTAGTAAAATAAAGCCTCCCACAATCCCAAGGTCCAGAGATAATACAGCTCAAGAATTGGTGCATTTCTCTGCCTTCTTCCTTTTTTTTCTCTGTCTCTCCATCTGCATCTGTATGTGTACAACCTGTTTTCTCTTCTTGCTCTTCACCCACAAAAGCAGGCATCCAGCCTTTTGAGCATCTCGCATATGATTAAGAACAAATCCTTCAAAGACCTGCCTCACCTAAGCCCATTTCTCAGACCCACCTGCGGTCTACTCAGGCCTCCTTGTCATCCACCAAGCCCTCTCTGGCTTCATTGGTACTGCCGCAGGCTGCTGGGCACTAGTATCTCCTGGCGTCTCTGTTGCACCTGAGGTTCCACGGCTGGCTGGTGTTCCTTCCTGGAATGGAGGGAGAACAATCACTTGGATTTATTTGAGTCCCAGTAGATTGGAGAGGTCCACTGGCCGGCTTTGTTAGTTGCAGCAAATCCAACTCAAACTGCCATCAGAGAACTCCCTGCCTCCTGCAAGTGAAAGGCCCCGGGGTGAACCAAGGCCAGGATGCTGAAACGCTGTAACCAGGGTGCTGTTCCTCTCTATCCTACAGCGTTGCCAGGGACTTCTTGCATGGCCAGAGCCTACTAGGTAGTGGTAGGTACTCAGGTTTTTGCTGAATGAATGATGCAGTGAATAACGGCAGCAGCAAACTCTGGTTCTCACAGCTTAACCACCTCAGCTAAAAGGGCTTCCAGTTGGCTGGATGAGGAGAAGATGGAACCCTCATCCGTGATGTTGAGAATGTAAAATGGTGCAGTTCCTTTTTTTTTTTTTTTTGAGACGGGGTCTTGCTCTGTTGTCCAGGCTGGAGTGCAGTGGAGCGGTCTCGGCTCACTGCAACCTCTGCCTCCCAGGTTCAAGCGATTCTCCTGCCTCAGCCTCTGAGTACCTGGGATTACAGGCCCACACCATCATGCCCAGCTAATTTTTTGTATTTGCAGTAGAGACAGGGTTTCACCACATGGGCCAGGCTGGTTTTGAACTTCCTGACCTCAAGTGATCCACCTGCCTCGGCCTCCCAAACTGCTGGGATTACTGGCATGAGCCACTGCGCCAAGCCGGGTGGAAGTATATGAAGGGTGAAATTGAAAGGTGTGGAGGGTGGAATGGAAGGATGGTTTAGGTGGAGTGAAAGAATGTGAAGAATGGAATGGAAGGTTGCAGAAGGCAGAATGGAAGGACATGGAAGGACCAGAGAGTGAAAAGTGGAATGAGAGGATGTTAAGGGTGGCACGGAAGAGCTTGAAGGATGTCATGGAGGGGTGTGAAGGGTGGAATTGAAGGGTGTGAAGGGTGAAATGGGAGGTTGCTTAGGGTGAAATGGAAGATGTGAAGAGAGAAACGGAAGGACATGTAGTGGACTGGAAGAGTGTCAAGGGTGGAATATAAGGTGTGTAAGGTGGAGTGGAAGAATATGAAGGTTGTAATGGAATGGCGTGAAGAATGGAATGAAATGGTGTGAATGAATAATGGACTGGAAGGGTGTGAAGGGTGAAATGGAATTGTGTGATGCATGAATGGAAGGATGTGAGGCTAGAATGAAAGGGTGTGTAGGGTGCAATGGGAGGGTTTTCAAGGTGGAATGGAAGGGTGTGAAGGGTGAAATGGAATTGTGTGATGGATGATTGGAAGGATGTGAGGCTAGAATGAAAGGGTGTGTAGGGTGCAATGAGAGGGTTTTCAAGGTGGAATGGAAGGGTGTGTAGAGTGGGATGGAAGAGCTTTATGTAAGGCTGTGGCATTGAGAAAGTCACCCAAACCTACCTATGCAGCTTAAGTGGGAGTAGGTAGTGGGGAAGTCTCAGTAACCAAGAGGGTCTCGGGCAGAACCATGCAAAGGCTTATTGGGGAGGAGCTGGGTGTCAGTGAGGAGTGCAGGTGTTAAAAATGCTTTAGTAACTGCAGGGTCCTTTGCATATTGAGAAGATGTGAGGCTAAATCCGGAGCTCAGACAGCAGAGGCCCAGGTGTCTCTAGGACACCTTATTATTTTTTACCTGGTCTACCTGTACAGAAATGAATATATCACAAAACAGTGCTGGTCCCAGCCCAGGTGACCCCTGGGGGCTCTGTCTGTCAGGAATTGAGAGAGCTTGGCTGACTCCATGGCCTCATCCTGGTGCAAGCTATGCCTATGCCCAGCAACAAGAGCTAACTTCGTCCCAGCCCAGGGACTTCAGGACCACTAGACATCCCTGACAGGACAGATACTGGAAGATCCCAAGCTACAACTTCACACTCTGCTCGACACCAGAGCGTTCCAGGAAAAACCTCATGAGTCCAGGGCCTGGAGCCAGAATCCACCAAAAAAAAACCCTGAATGGACAAAGGCTACCTTTAGCTCCTGCTTCTGGGACCTGCCCAGAGTACATACCCCTCTCAGAGGTGAGAGAGGCCTCTTCTAGGGGGATCTTTTCTCCGGTGCTATACTTTGATAGGTTTCCTTCATCCATTTAGGGGTATTTGCCTCTGGAAGAAAGATACACTGTCTGAGTCAATAGGAATCAGAGATTTGAGTCTGCCAGGCCAAAGCCTGGATCTGGACAATGGCCAGTTGATCATGTTGGTGACCCCCTCTATGAGGAATCCTAGGACACACATGGATGATAGCAGCAGCAGCAGCAGCAGCCAATCACTGGCCACCGACTGTGTGCTGGGAACTGTGCTCAACATTTCTGCAGAGATGGTCTCACTTAATTTTCATGACCCCCTAAATTAGGCACCAGTATTTTCTCCAATGTTCCAATGAGGAAACTGAGGCTGAGAGGTGAAGGAATCTAAAATCTGCCACTAATACTGACTGCTGGGGGCCGGGTGTGGTGGCTCACATCTGTAATCCCAGCACTTTGGGAGGCTGAGGTAGGTGGATCACCTGAGGTCAGGAGTTCGAGACCAGTCTGGCCAACATGGCAAAACCCCCTCTCTACTAAGAATACAAAAATTAGCCGGGCATAGTGGCACATGCCTGTAATCCCAGCTACTTGGGAGGCTGAGGCACGAGAATCGCTTGAACCCAGGAGGCGGAGGTTGCAGTGAGCTGAGATCACACCACTGCACACCAGCCTGGGTGATAGACTGAGACTCTGTCTCAAAAAAATTAGAATAGAATAGAATAGAATAGAATAGAATAAAACACTGACTGCTGGGGTTCTAACCCACATCTCTCTGACCCAAGGGTAAGAGGTATACCTCCCAATCCCCTCAGCTACCCACCCCAGGCTTGCTCACCATCAAAGACTGTGCCCTGTTAGCCTTTCCCAGGCCGCATTCTGGGCCTCACCCTGCAGCAAAACAGACTTGTTCCCTTTAGAATGTGTACACAGAGCAAGAGGCAAAATTCACAAAGGCCACTTTTAGCTCGAAGTGTTCATGCCCAGCTGAGGAAACAGGCTTTGGTGGTGGTGGTGGTGGTGGGGTGTATGTGTCAGTGGGTGGGTGGGAGAGAAGGACCTTCTGGGAATCTCTGCTGCCTGGGCTATAGCTATTTGTTATCCTGGAAACCATGGCTGCCGAATTCCTCTCCTGCCAACTTCTAATTTATATGCGTGCCCTGGCTGGGAGAAGGGAAGTCAAGCCAGGAATCTCCCCTTTCCACAGGTCCTCTACCCAAACCCACAGTTGATGGGAAACCTGCAAGTGTATTGCAACCTCTACACTAGGATGTGCCTGGATAAGCCTAGTCACCTGCTGAAGGTGCTGTGGCACTTCTAGCCCAATGCAGGGTCAGCTGCCTGCCCCACCCTGAGAGGCTTCTGGGAGCTCACATCCAATGCTGATCATCCCCGTGCTCCACTCAATCCCCTGCTGGGGTTAGGGGTAGCAATGGTTGCTGAGCAAGGCAGAGAAGGGGAGGCTGAGTAAAGCCTGGGGCTCCACGGGGCAGACAGTGGGAAGCTAAGAACCTGTCTGGGCGCTGTGAGGTGGCACCTGGCAGGTGGGATTCCACATGAGCTGTGGCTCCAAGCCCCCCTACCCTCCCTTCCTGCCCCTATGCATGCTCCAGGTCCCATCAAACTTCACTTACAAAGCACAAATTCAAAGATACAATTATTAAGAGTTTCAAGGCACTGACTGCCACGCATTAAACCCCAAGCATGGGGGCCTACTGCCATTGCACAGGTTGCACTTCCAGGAAGCTGGCCCTACTCACACCCTATCGCAGGCCCAGTTTAGCCTAGCTGGGCACTGATTGCTTCTTCCTGGTCGTTGGTGAGGTTCTACATCAAATGATTAGCTTTCCACAGTGGGTTTTCTCCCACTAGAGAGAACTTAGCGCTTCCAGCATCTCAGCTTCATTCCAGGGCCTAGCAGAGCTCACCACTCTGGACATTTTCATCCTCTTCCCCGTTTTCTTTCACACACACAGACCTCTGCTCTCTACATATGATCTTCCTCAGAGAGAATAGATTTGGTTACTTTTGTTCTGTCCTCTTCTCTTTGTGCCGCTCCTATAGAACAAAAATCATCAAACAGGGCCAGGTGTGGTGGCTCATGTCTGTAATCCCAGCACTTTGGGAGGCGGATGAGGGTGGATCGCCTGAGGTCAGGAGTTCGAGACCAGCCTGACCAACATGGTGAAACCCCGTCTCTATTCAAAATACAAAATTAGCTGGGCATGGGGGTGGGCGCCTGTAATCACGGCTACCCGAGAGGCTGAGGCAGGAGAATCGCTGGAACTTAAGAGGTGGAGGTTGCAGTGAGCCGAGATGGCACCATTGCACTCCAGTCTGGGCAACAAGAACAAAAGTCTGTCTCAAAAAAAAAAAAAAAAATCATCAAACAGCCAATTCAGCAACATCATTCTTCTCCTTCCATTACTCTATCCACCCAGAAGCTGACCCACACTAAATGGTTAAGAACTGTGAGGATAATCCAGCAATTCCCCTGCTGGGTATATACCCAAAAGAGTTGAAAACAAGGTTTCAAAGAGATATCTGTACACCTATGTTCATGGCAGCATTACTCACAATAGCCGAAAGGTGGAAGCAACACACGTGTCCATCAACAGATGAACAGATAACCAAAATGTGGCATAGACATACAATGGGATGTTTTCCAACATTAAAAGGAAGGAAATTCTGGCTGGGTGAGGTGGCTCCCGCCTGTAATCCCAGCACTTTGGGAAGCCGAGGCGGGAGGATCACCTGAGGTCAGGAGTTTGAGACCAGCCTGGCCAACATGGTGAAACCCCAGCTCTACTAAAAATACAAAAAAAAAAAAAAATTAGCTGGGCATGATGGTCGACACCTGTAATCCCAGCTACTTGGGAGGCTGAGGCAGGAGAATGGCTTGAGCCCGGGTGGTGGAGGTTGCAGTAAGCTGAGACTGCACCACTGCACTCCAGCCTGGGCAACAAGAGCAAAACTCCATCTCAAAAAAAAAAAAAAAAAAAAAAAAATTCTGACACATGCAATACCATGGATAAACCTTGAACACTTTGTGATAAGTGAAAGAAGCAAGCACAAAAGGACAATGATTGTATGATTCCACTTATATAAGGTTTCTAGAGTGGTCAAATTTAAAGAGACAGAAAGTAGAATAGTGGTTCCCAGGGGCTGAAAGGAGGCAGGAATGGGGAATTATTATTTAATGGGTACATAATTTCAATTAAGGAAGATGAAAAAATTCTGGAGATGGACAGTGGTGATCGTTGCACGTCGAGGTGAATGTGCTTACACTTAAAAATGGTTGTAATCATAAACTATATTATAGATATATTCAACTAAAATAATGAAAAAATAACTGTGAGGACATTTTGTTCTCCCTCAAACTGTCTTCAAATAAATTAAATTAATTAAATTAAATTAAATTAAAGGTCTTCAAATTAAGGCCTTCTAAAATCAAAAGAAAACAAAAACCAGCCATTAAAGAATCAAGAAATTCAGCCGGGCATGGTGGCTCAAGCCTGTAACTCCAACACTCTGGGAGGCCGAGGTGGGCAGATTGCTTGAGTCCAGGAGTTCCAGACGAGCCTGGGCAACATGGTGAAACCCTGCCTCTACTAAAACTACAAAAATTGGCTGGGTGTTGTGGCTCACGCCTGTAATCCCACTGGGAGGCCGAGGCGGGTAGATCACGAGGTCAGGAGATCGAGTCCATCCTGGCTAACACAGTGAAACCCCGTCTCTATTAAAGATACAAAAAATTATCCAGGCATGGTGGCACGTGCCTGTAGTCCCAGTTACTGGAAACTCAGGAGGCTGAGGCAGGAGAATCGCTTGAACTCGGGAGGCGGGGGTTGTAGTGAGCCGAGATTGCGCCACTGCACCCCAACCTGGGCAACAAAGCGAGACTCCGTCTCAAAAAAGAAAAAAATTAGCCAGCGGCCAGGCGCAGTGGCTCACACCTGTAATCCCAGCACTTCGGGAGGCTTAGGTGGGCGGATCACAAGGTCAGGAGTTCGAGACCAGCCTGGCCAACATGGTGAAACCCCATCTCTACTAAAAATACAAAAATTAGCCAGGCGTGGTGGCGCACGCCTGTAATCCTAGCTACTCAGGAGGCTGAGGCAGGAGAATTGCTTGAACCATGGAGGCGGAGGTTGCGGTGAGCTGACATCGTGTCATTGCACTCCAGCCTGGGGGACAGAGCGAGACTCGGTCTCAGAAAAAAAAAAAAATTAGCTGGGTATGGTGGTGTGCACCTGTAATCCCAGCTACTGAGATGGCTGAGGCAGGAGAATCACTTGAACCTAGGAGGCCGAGGTTGCAGTGAGCTGAGATTGCGCCACTGCACTCCAGCCTGGGTGACCGAACGAGACTCTGTCTCAAAAGAAAAATAAAAATTAAAATAAATTTGTTTTGTAGAGACAGAGTCTTGCTATGTTGCCTAGGCTGGCCTTGAACTCCTGGCCTCAAGTGATCCTCCTTCTTGGCTTCTTAAAGTGTGAGAATTACAGGCTTGAGCCACTGCACCCAGCATGAGGGAAGCTATTGCAAAATATAGAAAGTCATGAGACTATTTATGCCCTTTGATACTATCCCTTAGTATTGACTTCAAGACAGTGATCTAAAGGATAACGAAAAGCTCTCTGCAGAAAGACGTGTATTGCAGTACTGCTTATTGTGGCAAAAAATTGGAAGCAAACTCAATGTCAGAACAAGAGGAGAATAGTTAAGTAAATGATATATCTACTGCAAGGAGTCATGCAGGGGAAGATTATCCTGAAAACTCTTAAGTAGCTTGAGGGATGCTTGTGATGATCTAAATCAAAGTCAAAAAAACAAGGTTTAAAACCCCATGTACTAGGATGATAACAAGATGAAAATGTGTTCCTGCAGAGAAAGACTGGAATGGAAAGAGGAAAGACAGAATTTTTGTATTGTTTGGATAATGAGATCATGGGGTGACTTCTTTCTCATTTGACCAGAACTTGTGCACCATGGTTATATTAGTTTCTGTGCAACAAGGCCAAAAAAATCTAAGTAATGGACCCAGTGGCCATTTTCAGGATTAACAATACTCTGTGATGGTCTGATTCATGCCCACGCAGACAAAGGTCCTTACCTAACCGCCTAGATGGCCCCGCATTGCCTAGCAACTACCTGCTTAACAGCAGTTGCTAGGAAACCAAGAACACAGCAGGACTCCTGACCAATAGCACAGCGTCCATACTACTGCTAGACTTCCCTTCAAGTTCTCTCCAACAGTCATGCTCCTGTCTAGCCTTTCCTCTTCTTCTCCTATTCTCCTCCTTCTCATTCCTACCTGCCTGGGGCTAACCTGTGAGTAGCACTCAATGGGGTCCCCACAATCATACAACCTGACACAACACAGGTAATCACAGGTTCCAGAGGACCTTCTTCCTTCCCCTGCTTCCTTCTTGCTCCAGGACTGGGGCCTGGACCAGAGTGTGTGCATGGCTCAAAGTTTAAATCTGTAGTTATCCCACCATTGAGACAAGTATTGCTCATGGCCTCTATCGGATTCTAGCACCTGGCAAATCCTACTCCTTGGGAGAGTGACTCCTTCAGGAAAGGCATTAAGCTCAGCCCAGGGCTCCCACCATCCATCAGAGTGCCTGGTGGAAGCATTCCATGATTCTTCCGTTTTTCTGAGATGGAGTCTCACTCTTGTTGCCTACACTGGAGTACAATGGCGTGATCTCGGCTCACTGCATGAGCCAGCACGCCCAGCTCATTTTGTTTGTATTTTTAGTAGAGATGGGGTTTTGCTATGTTGGCCAGGCCGGTCTCAAACTCCTGACTTGAGGTGATTCATCCGTCTCAGCCTCCCAAAGTGTTGAGATTACAGGCGTGAGTCACCTCGCCCAGCCAAATCCATGATTCTTGAATGCATTCTTTGACAGGGGTCCCTGTTCCAAGTGGCCCACTTTAAAGAGAAAGAAAACTTCATGTAGGGTGGATTAGTCTGAACACAGTGATCCTGGAAGACTCCAATTTTCCACCATTGTTGAGAATGATCCCTGCTGCCCTGCACTTCTCATTCCCATCATCTCCATGTGCTGTTCAACCGTCACATCCATTCTGAGGAAGTTGCCATCTATCTCTATTCAAAAAGATCTTTCTTCTATTCTTCTTCTTCTTTTTTTTTTTTAAATAGAGACAGTGTCTCACTATGCTGCCCAGGCTGGTCTCAAACTCCTGGACTCAAGCAATTCATTGGCCTCAGCCTCCCAAAGTGCTAGGATTATAGGTAAGCACCCAGCCAATTATTTTTATTTAGAGACAGGATCTTGCTCTGTCTCCAGGGCTGGAGTGCAGTGGCATGATTATGGCTCACTGGAGCCTAGGCTCAAGGGACCCTTCTGCCTCAGCCTCCAGAGTATCTGGGAATACAGGCATGTACCACGATGCCCGGCTAATTAAAAAAACTGGTTTTTTTTTTTGAGATAGAGGCTCGCTCTGTTGCCCAGGCTGGAGGGCAATGGCGTGATCTCGGCTCACTGCAACCTGTGCCTCCCACGTACAAGCAATTCTGCTGCCTCAGCCTCCCGAGTAGCTGGGGTTACAGGCACCTGCCATCATGCCCAGCTAATTTTTGTATTTTTGTAGAGACAGAGTTTCACCATGTTGGCCAGGCTGGTCTTGAACTCTTAAACTCTTAACCTCAGGTGATCCGTCCGCCTTGACATCCCAAAGTGCTAGGATTACAGGCATGAGCCACTGCATCTGGCCAAAAAAATGAAAAAAAATTTTTTTTTTTAAGAGACGGGGTCTTGCTATGTTGCCCAGGCTGGTCTTGAACTCCTGGTCTCAAACTCCTGGTCTCAATAGATCTTCAGGCCTTCGCCTCTCAAAGTGCTGGGATTACAGACATGGGTGCGTATTTCGTATCTCCTTGCCACTAGAATATAAATTGCTTGAGAATAGATACTCTGGCCTCTGTTATCACTGGCACCTACAACAGCCTCAGGCTCAAAGAAGCTAAGATTTACTGTCTGCCTAGTGTTGTGTACCAGCTCGCCCAGAACAACTTCCCACTCATGAGCTCACCTAGTCAAACAACCGTTTGACGCAAGCTTTGCTATTCCCTTCTTACACATCTGAAAACCTGTTTCAAGATCACACATCTAATGGGTGGTAGAGCCAAGAATTTGATTCCCAGCTCACTGCCTGTCCCTCAGAATTCTAGCTGTTGCTATTAGAATCCAGATCCAGGCCGGGCACGGTGGCTCACACTTGTAATCCCAGCACTTTAGGAGGCCGAGGCGGGCGGATCACTTGATGCCAGGAGTTCGAGACCAGCCTGGCCAACATGGTGAAACCCCGTCTCTACTAAAAATACAAAAATTTATCCGGGTGTGGTGGTGGGCGCCTGTAATCCCAGCTACTCGGGAGGCTGAGGCAGGAGAATCGTTTGAACCCGGGAGGTGGAGGTTGCAGTGAGTGCAGTGAGCTGAGATTGCGCCACTGCACTCCAGCCTGGGCGACAGAGCGAGCCTCCGTCTAAAAAAAAAAAAGAGAATCTGGATCCAAAGCGGACATGCATGTGTGTCTCCCCCATCCCCACACACTTGTTTGTGTCTGGCCTTTCTCCTACTCCAAGACTGGCTCCACTTCGGGGCTCGCTGCCATGGAGACGACTCCAGATTTAGGAATACATTTCCTAGGCTTCCGGCAACTAACGTGAGGACTTGCTGGGATGAGGGACGGGGAGGTCTGCAGAAGGAGGCGGGGCATGCGGGGGTTGCGGGGCTTAGAGGGTTGGCGGAGCCCCTCCTCGCGTAGGTCCTTCCTTCTTTCCCTCCCTCCCTTTCTCTTTTCTTTTTCTTTCTCTTTCTCTTTCTTCTTTCTTTCTCTTTCCTTTCTCTCTTTCCTTCCTTCCTTCCTCTTTTTCTTCATTCCTTCCTCTTCCTCTTTCTCTTCCTTTTTCTTTCTCTCTCTTCTTTCTTCTTTCTCTCTGTTGAAAATTGTTTTTGACCACACCCAGATCATACTGATATTTACAGTATAGTCCTGGCTACAAGGGAGCCCAGCTGTAACTTGTGAAGTGGGCCTGGTTTAGAAAGTAACAATGAGGTGGTAACTAATGACAGTACTAGTTGTTATCAAAAATTAACACCTTTAGGTATTTTTGTTTTGGGTTTTTGTGGTTTTGGTGCATCCACAATGTCTTCATAGTCTGCACTTATTCCCTTTGCCCACAGACCAACTGTGGCCATTCGATCTGAATTCTCACTTTCAGGGCAATCTTTCTTTAAATGTTCCACAGAGCCATGAAGTTGGCAACCACTACCATCAGCATAGAGTCCTTTGGGATTATCAGGACAAGATCTAGACAGGTGCCCCATTTCTCCACAGACAAAACATTCTGCAAAAGGACATTCGCCAAGAGGCGGGTCTACTTTAGCCTTACACTTGGTTATTTCGTGATCTGTGGACCCACACTTGTAACATCTTCTAGTGCCCATATCTTGATTTTCAAGGGCGGCAGGGCAATCCGCAATTCCACGACCAGGTTTTCTACAATGGAAACACACCATTGCATTTTTCTTTGCCCCTTGTCTTTTAAATCTTCTTACTTCCCATTGACTGTCCTCTTGGAGGAAGGGTTGTGTGGAGAGTGGAGGTCTGCATGTGGTAAAGGAGATGGGTGGGTGGGGCGTGAAGGACCCGAAAGACAAGGCCAGTCTCATGGGTGTGTGACCTGTGCGGTCACACAGAGCCCTGAGCTCAGCAGGGCCTGGCGCTTGATTTCATGTTCTGTTGTCACCGTCTTGACATTCTTATCATTTTTGAACGAGGGGCCCTGTGTTTCCATTTTGCACTGGGTCCCACAACTGCTGGAGCTGGTCCTACAGGAGGGTGAAAATTAGCATATAATGAGCAGTGAGGACAACCAGGAGTCCCTTTCATTGCCATCTTGGCTTTGGTGGGCTTTGGCCAGCTTCTTTACCGCATCTTATCAGTGGAGTCTTTGTGACCTGCATCTTGTGAAGCCAGTCCTGCCCACCTCCTGTGTCACCCCCAGCTTAGAGATCTGCATACAGTAAAATTACTACTAGCTTTCTCCTGAGGCCCTGCAAGCTAAAGCTTATACCTTGTGATACAGGCGTGTCAGATTGCCACCACTTTCCTGCTTTATAACTAAAGATGCTTTTGAGTCTAATACCTGGATAGACTGTGTCCAGCATTAACCTTTTTTTCTTCTGTTCTCATAAAAATCTCTCTTATTAAAAATCTGTTTGGCTTTGTATTTCAGACAACAGAAGACTAGTTTTCCAGCCTATTCACTTAGATTCCAAATGGCATCTGATCTCTTATTTTTTTCTTTCTTATTTTTTTAAAGAGACAAAGTCTATGTTGCCCGGGCTAGTCTCAAAAGCCTGAGCTCAAGTGATCCTCCTGCCTTGGCCTCCCAAAGTGTTAAGATTACATGCATGAGCCACCATGCTTGGCTTTGATCTCTTCTTTAAAACTGGGCTTAAGTATTTTATGAATTATCACTAGGTGCTATTTGATTTTAAAAATATTTGTTATATTCATCAGGTGTTCGGACGGTTCAAGTTTATGTCTTCCAGGCTACAACAGTTTCAGAGAAAAATAATTAGTCCAGTGTTCCAGCCTGTGCCACTGCAGAAAAGATGGAGTCCCTATAAGTCATTCGATCAGGTACGAAGACATTTCTATGCCTCCAGAGCAGGTAGGGATGATGGCCCCTGTTCAGCATGAAGCAGTGACAGAAGATAGATCTCTGTCCTTCTACAACCTCTTAAGATTAAGGACGAGTATGTAATGTCTGAGGTGGGGATAAGATAGGAGGTTGGCAGGACTGGTTTCACAAAGACTCCTCGTATAAAACAGGATGTGGTAAAGAAGCCAAAACCCATCAAACCAAGATGGTGATGAAAGGGACCTCCGGTTGTCCTCGCTGCTCATTATATGCTAATTTTAATACATTAGCATACTAAAAGACATTCCCACCAGCGCCATGACAGTTTACGAACGCCATGGCAGCATCTGGAAGTTTCCCTAAGTAGTCTGAAAGGGGGAAGAACCTTCAGTTCCAGGAATTCCCACCCCTTTCTCTGGAAAACTCATGAATAATCCACTCCTTGTTTAGCACACGATCAAGAAATAACCACAAAAATAGCCAACCAGCAGCCAGTCGGGACTGCTGTGCCTATGGAGTAGGTAACTTCTTATTCCTTTATTTTCATTTTTTCTTTTTTGTATTTTTTTAATTCTTAAATTTAAGTAAAAAATTTTTAATTTATAGGGGTTTTCTGGTAAAAACTGGAAAGCCTGCTAGACAAATTCTAAAAGAGCTGTGATACTCCTTTATTTTCTGAATAAACTTCCTTCCACTTTACTCTGTTGGCTTGCTCTTGTAGATCTTCCTGTACAAAGCCAAGAATCCACGTGGCCTCCCACGCTGAACCCCAATTTTGGGGCTCACCCTGTGACACAGCCAGAGGCAAATGGTTCCATGTCCCTCCTATTCCTCTTTGCGCCTGGATGGGATCCGGAGGGCTCTAGGCTTGGCTGCTGTGGCCACCAGATGAGGCTCTATGAGGTCTGCAGGGGTCTTGCCAGCTCCAGATGGACATTCCCTGAGATGCTGTTAGGCCACCTGGACTGGGGCCCCCTGTGGCATCCCTGGCATGGACACATAATGCCCAGCAAAGGCATCATCAAAGTTCCATTACTTTAGTGCTGGAAGGCAAACCAGATGGCAACTTGTTTGCAGAGAAAGAAACTGAGACCCAAAGAAGGGTCAGCCAAAGCCAGGACTCAAGGGTCAAGGGCTGGTGTTGATACTTCAGCTGCTGAGTGGCAGGAGTCCCTTTTTGCTGCCCTTCTCCCAGAGTTCCATAATGAGGTGAGGATGGGTCTCCTTCAGGGCTTGGTAGAGTCCATCTTTGCACTTCCGGTCCCAGGACTGGCTCAAGCTGAACAGCTTCCGCATCTGGCTGGGCCTCGTGTTCTCAGCCAGCACCCTCTCGTACTGCTCCTGGCTCAGCACCTGTCCATGCAGTTTGTCCAAGACAACCTCCACCGATGTCACTCGGGCTATCAGCTGCTCTCGATACTGGTCCACAAAGTGCAGCAACTGCGGGGCATCCAGAGGTGAAGGTACGGCTGGCAACGAACAAAGAAGGGCTCCAACCACAGCCTCCACCTCCAATCCCCACCTTCAGTGCTTTCCTCTCTCATCTCTGCATCCCTCGCTTCCTTCTGCCTCCAGAAATGCACCTGTGTCCTCCCTCATGGCAGCATCTAGCTTGGCATTCTGCCAGAGTGGGGATCGGGAGTGGGGTTCCTGCTGGGCACATTGGAGGCTGTCAGATAAGGAATTCTAGGGTCTCTGTGGATAGGACAAGGGGGTATGGGGAGCGACCATGCACCGCTCTCCAGGGCCTGACTCTTTGTGAGGTTTGCAGTGATGAGTCCCTTCCTTTCTCTCTTCCCTTCCCCCAGAACCAGACAGTACCCCAGAACTGCCACCGCCTCCTGTGGTCTCTGAGAGCTGTTACTGACCTATGCGGGCTGGAGGGATCAGAGTAGTTGCAGGCATGAGATCTCCTGGAGGAAAACAGAGATGAAGATGCATCTGAAACAGTGCTAAGTTATTAACACACATGGTACACCTCCAAGCTCCCACTCACTTCTGAGATTCTTTGATTTAGAAAAAAGCCACAGACAAATTCTGGTAGAATCTGGAGTAAGAGCTGGAAGGGTCCTTAGAGGTTATTTAGGTGAATCCCTTCCTTATGCATATGGGGAAACTGAGGCTCAGAAGCTGTGATCATACAGTAATAGAAGACATCCAAATGAGCGATAGCAATTTCTCCTATAACATCCCAGACTTGGTTTTAATCCCGTGTTGGCCTGAATTGTATCCCTGGTGAACTAACCAAACCCCTTGCTAGATAGCTTGAACTATTTAGCACCTCCTTGTCTGAGCAGAAATCTACTTCCTTGTTCTTGTTTAGCCTTCTAGACTGGCACCAACCAAAGGTGTACGTTCTGGATTTGGATGTCAGAATCTAGAATCAAGATCAAGCAATCTTAGGACATGGGAATAACAAATTAATTTTAACAGAAAAAACAGACAACGACAAAAATGAAGGGACTTAAAAATTGCTTTGCAAAGGAGAGAAAGGGGAAGTTCACAGCAGCTCGCATGTACAAGGCCTGAGAGTCTGAGCAGGCTCTAAGTTCAGTGTGATCTCACAGTTCAGGGAGGTGGGCACAGGGGAGGGAGTTCAGGTTGTGGTACCAGGAGCACCGGGTCCATGTAGGTGGAGAAAGGAGGGTGTTTACATGCTCTCTGCTGACTGGACAGTCCAGGGGTCAATTCTGACTCATTCCCACACTGGAGCATCTACTGAGGGAGGTGACTGGATGGCAAAGAATTTACAAACCAAAATAGAAGAGGAATGATGGAAGGAGCTGAGATGTCTAACTTGCATAACAAGAGTCATCAGGAATGCTATGACCACAGTCTTTGAGAATCTAAATGGCTTTTTAGATTTAAGGGGAAGGAGATAGACTTTTTCTATGAGTTCCAAGGGACAGAATTAAGACTGATAAGAGGCAGAGATTGGCTTAACATGAGGAAAAAGATAACATTGCTACGATTTGTTAAGGATTACTGCATGAGGCATGTATAGACATCGCTTTGTTTAATCTTTCCAGCATTCCTACAAATTAGTCATTATGATCCTCTTTTTACAGACGAGGGACTCAAATGAATTAAGTAATTTTCCCAAGGTCACTCAGCAAGTAAGTGCCAGAGTGGGATTTGAATCCAGGTCTGAAGCTGGGGCTGGTTAGTTCTCCATCTGTGGTTGCACCCAAGCCAGGATTCAGTAAAGCCCATCCTCTTTCCACTACACTGTGAAGCCAGCTTGTTGCAGCTCAGAGGTAGATTCACCATTTTTTGAGAGCTGACTAGGGATGGTTGTCCTAGAAGGACTGTTTGGGGGTTTGGGTTCTTAGATTGTTGGTACTAGACTAAGAGTCCATAAATTTTCTCTATCCCAGAAAATTTATTATTTGATTTCCTCTTGCCTACCTCAAAAATACTGAGCGATACAGGGGAGAGTATCTGAAATTGCCAAATCGGTTTAACCCATACGACCATATGACTATCTAGGTCTTATTCTTCCACCTCACACCCAAACTATCATGAGAAACTTAGCTAAAAGCTTTGTGTATGTCGACATCTGTTAATTCAAGGGCACTGTGAAGACACCATTGTGCATGGGAGAGAACATAAATTTTAGAGGGTCAGATTGAGTCAAGTTTAAATTCTAGTCATAACAACTGTTATGTAACTTGAGAAAGCCACCTACCTCCTACCTCCTGTGGGCTATTTCTTCTCATCAATAAACTGTGATAGTGCACTCTGCACCCCCCCCCCTCCCACATACACAGACTTTCTTCCATTGACTTTTTCTTTTTTTTTGGATTGCAGTCTTGCTCTTTTGTCCAGGCTGGAGTGCAGTGGTGCGATCTCAGCTCACTGCAACCTCCGCCTCCTGGGTTCAAGCGATTCTTCTGCCTCAGCCTCCTGAGTAGCTGGGACTACAGGCACGCGCTACCACGCCTGGCTAATTTTTGTACTTTTGGTAGAGATGGGGTTTCACCATATTGGCCAGGCTGGTCTTGAACTCCTGACCTTGTGATCTGCCTGCCTCGGCCTCCCAAAGTTCTGGGATTACAGGCGTGAGCCACTGTGCCCAGCTCCTTCATTGATTTTCTTTCTCCTCCCACCTCTGAGTTCTCTGGAATTGTCCTGGATTTACCTGGTTTCACCAAGGCCTCCCACACCAGAGTCTCATCTTTCTTGTCTTTCACTTGCAGCCTGATCCCTGATCCCAAGTGGCCAACGTAGAACTCCGAGAACAGCTGGTCTTCTCCAGGGCTTCGATAGCAGAGCTCCAGTTCCTGAAGAGGCAAAGAGTTGAGTTGCCACCCTGTTCATCTTGCATGGAAGGTCTTTCCCCACCTGACACCTTCTTGGCCCTGCTTGGCTCCATAAGGACACTCTGATGATCCCTGTACTGAAATCAACCATCACCTTCAGACATTGCTCTTTTCCCAATTTTCCACAGAAGGATGAGGACACAACTGAGTACCTCACGGGTAAGTCAGGGCTTGTCCTTAAACGTAGTGCTCATAATCCTAAGCCAGATCCTTCTTCCTTCACCTCCCCCATCTTGAATCCAAACCCTCATTTCTCCAGCCCAAAGCCTGTCTTCCCAATGGACCCTAAACTCCACCCACTGTCGATTGACAAAAATTTATATCCATCCCCTTTCCTAAATCCCAGCTAAGACAGAACTCTTGATTCCCCACTGTCTTCCAAACATGCTCCCTTTCCAGTTTCCCCAAACTCAGTAAAGGATAGGACCATCCACTGAGCATGCAGGCTCCAAACTCGGAATCATGCTTAAGTCCTTCCCTACACAGGCAATCCAGCAGGTCCTGTTGGCTCTGCCTTCAAAATCAACCCTGAATTCATATACTTTTCTCCATCTCCCTCGCTACCTTCCTAGTCAAGTGACCTTCAACTGTAGCTTGCAGTATTGCAACAGCCTTTTGTTTTTTTCTCTTTTTCTTTTTTGTTTCTTTTTTTTTTTTTTTTAAAGAGAGATGGGGTTTTTCCATGTTGCCCAGGCTGGACTTGAACTCCTGGGCTCAAGTGCCTCAGCCTCCTGAGTAGCTGGGACTACAGGCGTGCATCACCATACTCATTTTTTCATTTTTCATAGAGATGAGGTCTCCCTACATGGCCCAGGTTGGTCTTGAGCTACTGGCCTCAAGTGATTCTCCCACTATGGCCTCCCAAAGTGATGGAATTACAGGCGAAAGTCACTGTACCCAACCACAACAGCATTTTTTTTTTTTTTTTTTGAGACAGGGTCTTGCTCTGTTGACCAGGTTGGAGTGCAGTGGCACGATCTCGGCTCACTGCAAACTCCACCTCCCAGGTTCAAGCAATTCTCCTGCCTCAGCCTCCTGAGTATCAGGGTTTACAGGTGCCCATCACCACTCCCGGCTAATTTTTTTTTTTTTTTGAGACGGAGTCTCGCTCTGTCGCCCAGGCTGGAGCACAGTGGCACAATCTTGGCTCACTGCAACCTCCGCCTCCCAGGTTCATGCCATTCTCCTACCTCAGCCTCCCAAGTAGCTGGGACTACAGGCACCCACCACCACGCTCGGCTAAAGTTTTGTATTTTTGGTAGAGATGGGGTTTCACTGTGTTAGCCAGGATGGTCTCGATCTCCTGACCTTGTGATCCGCCCGCCTCAGCCTCCCAAAGTGCTGGGATTACAGGCTTGAGCCACCACACCCGGCCCTCCCGGCTAATTTTTGTATTTCTAGTAGAGACTGGGTTTTGCCATCTTGGCCAGGCTGGTCTGGAACTCCTGATCTTAGGTGATCTGCCTGCCTTGAACTCCCATAGTGCTGCGATTACAGGAGTGAGCCACCACACCTGGCCTTTTTTTTTTTTTTTTTTAGACAGAGTTTTGCTCTTGTAGCCCACACTGGAGTGCAGGGGGGGTGATCTTGGCTCACTGCAACCTCTGCCTCCCGGGTTCAAGCAATTCTCCTGCCTCAGCCTCCCGAGTAGCTGGCATTACAGGTGCCTCTCACCATGCCCCACTAATTTTTTGTATTTTTAGTAGAGACAGGTTTTCACTATGTTGGTCAGGATGGTCTCAAACTCCTGATCTCAGGTGATCCACCCGCCTTGGTCTCCCAAAGTGCTGGGATTATAGGCGTGACCCACTGCGCCTGGCCCATAATGGCCTTTTGACTTGTCTCTCTGCTTTCACTCTTGCCTGCTTATCATTCGTTCTCACCCAGCAGCCAGAGGCATCTTTATGAAAGTAAATCAGGTCTTTTTTTTTTTTTTTTTTTTTTTTTTGAGACAGAGTCTTGCTCTATCACCTAGGCTGGAGTGCAGTGGTGCACTCTCGGCTCACTGCAACCTCTGCCTCCCAGGTTCAAGTGATTCTCCTGCCTCAGCCCCCTGAGTAGCTGGCATTACAGGCATACACCACCACACCCAGCTAATTTTTGTATTTTTAGTAGAGACAGGGTTTCACCATGTTGGCCAGGCTGGTCTCGAACTCCTGACCTCAAGTGATCTGCCCACCTCGGTACCCAAAATGCTGGGATTACAGGCGTGAGCCACCGCGCCTGGCTGTAAATCAGGTCTTGTATTAGCTGTTTATGACCCTCAAAAGCTTGCCATTGCACTTAGAACAAAGTGCAAAGTGCATACCAGGGCCAACAGGGCAGATGAGGCCTGGTAAGACCCTGCCTCTAATCTGACTCATCTTTTGCTATACTGACCTCTTTTTTGTCATCTGGAGGCGTCAAGCTTGCTCCCACCTCTATGCCTCTGCACACATTCCTTCTGCCTGAAATGTTCTTCCACAAATCTCCGTGTGGCCTGAACCAACACCCAATCTAAAGAAAATCTTCGTTTCCTTAGATCTTCCTCAAATGTATGCAACCAAGGCCCAAATCCTATAGCAGATTCTTTCAAACACCCTTTACTGAGACACCCCATGGTTCCCCATAATATGTGTTCTGCCACTGCAATGATTAATAAAGCCAGTATGTTCAACTACAGGTTTGTTCCTGGTGGTCTGGACTGAAGGACATTGATGACCTATAGCCCAAACACTTCCCAGTGCCCCCAAGTCAAACCCCATCATCCTTCACATCCTGCATGTGATCCTCCCTCCTCCGAACTTTCTTTCTCCTAGTCTTGGAAGCATTCCCACTTTCTCTAAATCCCACTCACTTTCTGTTCAACCTCGATTTATCCTGTCCCTGAGAAAGCCCTGAGACCTGCCCCACAGGCATTCATTCCCAGGTAGGACTTCTGTTCGCAGTGAAGAGGCAGACACTGGGCTGCTCACCTTGGGGAGTATTTCCAGCATCCCTGAACCAGACCCAGACACAGTGTAACGACAGCCCATATAAAGTGGGGTCAGCGGGGGTGGCTTGTGGATTCGCACAAACTGGAATTTCATTTCTAGATCATCTATGGCCTACAGAACATAGGGAACAATGATTAAGGGAGGCTTCTGCCCCGTGGAATGTGGTTTGAATAGGGGGGATGGTGCATCTGTGTGTTTGTGTGGACAGAGTGGGGCTATATCACCCCTGCCTCCCTCCCCCCATGCACTGCTACAGAGACAGCCCGCACTTGGTCTTTGATGTCTTCAGGATAGGAATAGGGTTATTGTTAGGGAAGTTAGAATGAGGAAAGGCTACAGTTTTAGGCATGGAGGACTCCAATCCTTTGATTCCTGGACAGGGGCCGTAAGAAACTGTCCAAAGATCAGTGATTGATCAATGAACCTAGCAGGGGGATACCTTGGAGAGGCAGGAGACCAGTCCAAGACTGAGAGGGGACGAATTGTTTGCCCACTTCAAGGTTCTCCTGTACAAGAGGCCCATCCTTGGTCCCAGTTGAAGACCCTCTAGGGGGCTCTCTGGCTGCATTTTGTGTTTACCGTCAACCCACCGTGGCCCAGCCTTTCTGGCTCTTAGTGTCACCTTCCGAATGGAGCAGTCACTTGGGATCAGGTAGAGGTGGAAGGTGACTTCCTCAGGATGGACGCGGTGGTAAAGCAACACCACAGAGGTGACGGGAATGAAGCGCAGGGCATTATGGATCATTTTCAGGAGGACTCCCAAGGGGGAGAAGCTGGGGTTTTCCAGAACTATGTGATGCAGCTCCACCCTGGCTGGCTTCTCCAGGAGCATCCCCTCCTCTTTAAAGTGGGCCATTTGGAACAGGGATGTGTCCACATGGCCCCCTGTAAAAGAATGGATTGAAGAGGCACAGGTTTATTTTTATTTATTTATTTTGTTGAGACAGAGTTTCGCTCTTGTCGCCCAGGCTGGAGTGCAATGGTACAATCTCGGCTCACTGCAACCTCCGCCTCCTGGGTTCAAGCGATTCTCCTGCCTCAGCCTCCCGAGTAGCTGGGATTACAGGCGCCTGCCACCATGCCCAGCTAATTTTTGTATTTTTAGTAGAGATGGGGTTTAACTATGTTGGCCAGGTTGGTCTTGAACTCCTGACCTCAGGTGATCCGCCTGCCTCGGCCTCCCAAAGTGCTGGGATTACAGGCGTGAGCCGCTGCATCCAGCCCAAGAGGCCTAGATTTAGTGTTGTTACTGAGTCAGGATTTGCTGGCACTGTAGGATCCCAGGGCTTAGGCTCAGGTACCCTCTTGGGGGAGCCCAGTGCTATGGTCTTGAATGTCTGTGTCCTCCTACAATTCATATGTTGAAATTCTAACCCCCAAGGTGATGGTATTAAGAGGTGAAGCTTTTATGGGAGGTGATTAGGTCATGGGGGTGGAATTCTCATGAATGGGATTAGTGCCCTTACAAAAGAGACTCAAGGGAGCTTGCTTGTCCCTTCCACCCTGTGAGGACACAGCTAGAAGGCTCCATGTATGAGGAATGGGCCTCACCAACACACCAAATCTGCTGGCGCCTTGATCTTGGACTTACCAGGCTCCAGAACTGTGAGAAACAAATTTCTGTTATTTACAAGCTACCTAGTTTATGGTATTTTGTTATAGCAGCCTGAACAGGCTAAGACACCCAGCATGGGGAAGAGGGCATTTCTAGGCCTGGGGCCTTTGGAGGCTGTGGGAAATTGTGCCACCAGGTGGGAGCACTTAGCAGTGCTGAACTCCTAAGTGGAGCTCAAGGATCACCCTTGAGCCAAACTTATACGCAAACCCAGCCCCTGGCCCTGGAGCTGGGAAAGATATAGAACCTCTAGTTGCCTGTGCTGGTGTGGATTCTCTATGAGAGACCATTGAGTGATGCTGGAAGGTTTGACTAGGCAGGTAGAGAACAAGGAGGAGGAAGGGGCAGTAGGAACATAGAGTGACCAAGGTGTTTGGCCACTCACTATTCAAACTCTTCTTTTTAGGAAGAGCCTCCTCCTCCAGCACTGTGTGGGTCTTGGCAGGAGGCAAGCCAAGCCCCCCACTCAGGATGCTACTACTCCCTGGCAGCAAGGACACAGGTGTGTGACCAAGACTTGACTAAGTGGTTGTCTCTAACTGGGACCTCAAGTCTAGAGGGGTGAAACAGATGCAGAGAGAGAGAATTCTGGCAGTAGCAGTTGGGTGAAGAGTCCAGTGAGAGGCAGGTGTGGTGGTGCACACTCATAATTCCAGCTACTTAGGAGGCTGAGGTGGGCGGATCACTTGAACCCAGAAGTTCAAGGTTGCAATGAGCTATGAGTGTGCTGCTGCATTCTAGCCTGGGTGACAGAGTGAGACCCTGTCTCAAAAACAAAAAACAAAAAACAAAAAACAAAATACCAGAAAGAAAGAAAAAGAGCCCAGTGGCTCCTGGGCAGGAGGGTCCTACAGTAGCTGTCTCCGTATTTTCTGCCGCCTGTCTCCGTATTTTCCTGATGTGACCTTGGCTCTGCCCTTGGTTTCTCTGAGTCATTGGGTCACTATCTTCCCCCCCGCTTAGATTTGTTGCATAACCTTTTGCTAAGTCTATGAGTTAGTCAATAACCTTTCAATGTATCCCTTTTCTGCTTAAATCAGCCAGAATTGGTACCTTTGATTGCAGTCTCTGACCAGCGCCAGGCAAGGACATTGAAGTTACAAGAGAGCTTGAGGGATGAATACTGGTAATGGGAGAGACACTGGCCTAGGGATCAGAGGTCCCAGCTCCATCCCTGCATTGCCTGGTAACTGCTGCAATGCAAGTGGTTTCTGGGCAACAAGGCATCCAGCAAGCTGGACAAAGCCCTTAGTCAGATGTCAATCCCAGAAGGGTCCATGAAGACCATTACTTAAGTTTTGTCATTTAACTGCGTTTTTGGGATGAAAATAAAGTCACAGTGGTATCTATCATCTGAAAAAATGAGGAAGAATTCACCTATGAATCTTACCAATCAAACAATACAACTATTCTTTTTTTATTTTTGACACGGAGTCTAGCTCTGTCACCGAGGCTGGAGTACAGTGGTGTGATCTTGGCTCACCACAGCCTCCGCCTCCTGGGTTGAAGTGATTCTCATGCCTCAGCCTCCCGAGTAGCTGGGACTACAGGCATGCACCACTGCGCCTGGCTTTTTAGTAGAGATGGGGTTTCACCATGTTGGCCAGGCTGGTCTTGAACTCCTGACCTTAGGTGATCCACCTGCCTCGGCCTCCCAGACCGCGCCTGGCCACAGTATAACTATTCTTAGCATGGGACGCCTGCATTACAGTCTTTCTCTGCGGCAACACCTTTTCCTATTTTTATTGTAGTCCATGATACTTTGTCTCTTGTTTCCTGTGACAGTTTAACTTGCTGCAAGGATGTCAGACCATTTAATTACCACAGTATATGATCCCTGCTAGTGGATGCACCACCCTGTGATTCAGCCTGTTTCTCATTTCAGTGTTGAGTTTGCTTCCAACTTTTCACCATGATAAATAGCACCTGCAATGCACATATTCTGCAGAAAGCTTCTATTTCCCTTGTGTTATTGCCTTGAAATCAATCAGTACCAAGGGATGAGGAAAGCGTGTGAGATGGTATGACCTCCTTCACTCCCCAGTTGCTTCTCCAAGAGGCGATGCTGGTTTGCGTTGCCATCACTGGCACTAAATGGATGGTCTCATCCTGACCTCCAAAGCACTGGAATGTCTTCACATGTCAGTTGAGGGAGCTGAAATCCTGGGAGGAAAGTGCTTTTTCCAAGGCCACACAACCAGCCATGGTCCTAGGACCAGATCCCAGGATTCTGACCACAGTCTGGAGCACTAACAGACGCTCGGTGCCACTTGAATTTTTGCTGAATTCCAGAAGGTGCTGGGTGTCTCCAACTTACCTTCTTGCTAGGGTGACCAACTGTCCATGCTTGCCCAGGACCGAGAGGGCTCCTGGGGGTGCAGGACTGTCAGTGTTAAGATGAGCTGGTCACCCCCCTTCTTGCACATACTGCCCTTTCCATAGATTGTGGTAGAGTCACCTCATCCAAACCTGACAGTATATTTGTGCTGATAGATTGGAGAGAGAAGGGAAGCAATGGGGAAGACTGTGGTCTGAAGGAGAAGAAGGTTGAGTGTTGACTGGAGGAAGTCTCACTGGCAGAAAGACCTACGCTGCCTTTGGCTGGTTGCACCAGAAAAATTTAGAAAAAGCTATCATGAGGTAGGCATGTTTCTGTGGGTCTGGGGTCCAGGGCTTTGCATCTGCTTATTACACAAAAGCTTACTGAGTACGGACAATGTGCCAGCCCCTGTGGATGTAGCTGTGAACAGGAAAGACATGGGCACTGCAATTCCAGAGCTTGTGGCCCAATGGGGAATACAGACAGCAAATAGAACAATGGCTCAAAGCATGACAAGTGCTCCGCCAATGGAAGCCTGTCAGCTCCTTCCTCCTTTCCCAGCCGCATGCCCGGTGTTTGCCTTGGGACATTGCTGCTCCTGCTGTCCAGGAGCCTGGGGACTCTCCCTCCTTTAGATGCTGCCCTTGGGCCTGTGGCCTGATGCCTGGCCGTGCCCTTCCTGCTGAGTGTGTGTGGTCAGCACCTTCCAGGCTCAGGTGAGCTGTTGAGGGGCACAGTGGCTCTCCTACTCAAGCAGGGACAGTGGGACCCACATCACATGAAGGTAGGGCACTAGAGGGTTGTCTAGCAGAGCAGCTAAATGATAGGGACTGCCTGGCTTTGACTCCCAGCAAGGGTTCTTACCAACTGTGGGACTCTGAGCAGATTACTTGCCCTCTCTGTGCATCATCTGTAAAGTGGGGCTGATAACAGCATCCCCCTCCCGGTGTCACTGTGCAGATTGACTGGGTTTGTGTCTATAAAGCCCTGGGGATAATAAGGACCACTTGCTCGTATTACAGATAAAATGCAGCTTGACCAATCTATCCACCTGGCTGTGGTGGTTCCTTCTGTTTCTTCCTCAAACAACTCGGCCCAGTCCTCTTGGTAACTCTTGGGGTCTGGGAAGAAAAAGCTACTAAATTTTTTTTTTTTTTGAGACAGAGTCTTGCTCTGTCACCCAGGCTGGAGTGCAGTGCACGATCATGACTCACTGTAGCCTTGACCTTCCAGGCTCAAGTGCTCCTCTCACCTCAGCCTCCTGAGTAGTTGGAACTACAGGTGCGCACCACCATGCCTGGCTAATTCTTCAATATTTTTTTGTGGAGATGGGGTCTCACTATGTTGCCCAGGCTTGTCTCAGACTCCTGGGCTCAAGTCATCCTCCCGTTTCTGCCTCCCAAAGTGTTGGAATTACAGGTGTGAGCCACTGCACCCAGCCACTAAGGTATTTTGAATATCCATTTTGCTTAATCTGAGTTTTGGGACTCTATATTGTTATACGATTCAGTAAGTGTTGGTTCCAGGAAGACAACAGTTTTGAGGCCTGAGGGATACCACTGTGGTTTCCAGCCATCTCATCTGGTTGAACTCCTGAGTAGGTGGGCAGGGGGAGGGAGTGGGAATGGGGCGAGACCCCACTCAGGTGTCTGTGTGAAGTGTTCTTGTTCCCACAGGCAGCACAGAGAGGAGCAAGTGTGACAAAAATGAGGGAACTCACTTCCTCTTGGAGGGAGGGTTGTGTGGAGAGCAGAGGTCTGTGTGTGCTGAAGGAGATGGGTGGGTGGGGGAACGAAGGACCCGAAGGACAAGGCCAGCTTCATGGATGTGTGGCCTGTGCAGTCACACAGGGTCCTGAGCTCAGCAGGGCTTGGTGCTTGGTTTCATGTTTGGTGGTCTTGACATTCTTAATCATTTTTGAATGAAGAGCTCCGCGCTTTCATTTTGTGCTGGGCCCTATGACTGCTGGAGCTGGTCCTGCAGGAGGGTGAGAATGCCCATTGCCACGGTGATGAAGCTGAGAGGCTGAAAGCCTCAAGCTCTAGCTATAGTGGGAGAAAACTCACCATGGAAAGTTAATGACTCATCACCCGTTCAGCGACGACAGTGATGAAGCACCAGTGCCCAAGTCCTAAATCAGACCCTGTGTCAGGCAGTGAGGTCATCGTTTCCAGGGCAATGAACAGCTGCAGCCCAGACAGCAGGCAGCAAGCATTTCTGGAAGGGGCCCTGCCCGGCCCCAGGGATTGGTTTCCTGGCTGGTCACAGCTAGCTAAAAGCAGCCTCTGTGCATTTTGCCTCTTGTTCTGTGGCAGGGGTGTCCAATCTTTTGGCTTCCCTGGGTCACATTGGAAGAAGAAGAATTGTCTTGGGCCACACATGTAAAATATACTAACACTAATGATAGCTGGTGAGCTTTAAAAAATTCGCAAGAAAGTCTCATAATGTTTTAAGAAAGTTTACGAATTCACGTTGGGCTTCATCGAAAGCCATCCTGGGCCGCATGTGGCCCACAGGCCGCAGGTTGTACAAGCTTGTGTACGGAGTCCAAAGGGAGTAAATCCTATCTGGCCACAAGGTGAGGCTCAGAATTTGGTCTAGAGAAGGCTAGTGGGACATGGGCTTGGGCAGGACTGGGGAGGGGTAGGGGTGTAGCTCTTAGCCTGGGATAAACAGGACTTGGGATAGAATCCCAACTCTGGAAGAGGGTCTTCACCTCTCTCGGCTTCAGTTTCCTCACTGGTACACCAAGGGAAAACTGTAGTGCCTAATTTCCCGGTTCATTATGAAAAAAGAGATGATATTAATATATACGGAACTACCTTGCATGGTTCCAGGCACAGGATGCTCAGTTATTGTTCACAGTTCTTATTGGCCAAGTTCCAGTGCCACAAAGGACAGTGCCACAAGCACAGTGAATTCATTCCTATTCTGATTTGGCTGTCAGCCTGGCAGGCTTCAGCTAGATGCCTGTGCACTCGGAGGGTCACCCAATTCCTTGGACAAATCCCGTCTCCCAGGCCCACTTGATGCACGCAGGAGACTGAGCAGGGCATGGCCTGGGAGTCCTCACAATGGGGAGGGCCAGCTCATCCACCTCTGAGAGTGGGGAATGAGGGGGCGCTGGAGCAGGACCTGAAGGCAGACTTTGTCCCCTCGGGCCCTGGTGGTACATTCTGGCTCCAGACCTTAGCTGCATGAGGTTTCTCCTGGAATACCCTGGTTAGAGCAGGGAGTGGTGGTGCAGCCCTGAGCATCCCAGGTTGGGGCAAGCCAAGTTCTTTTGCTGCTGGTCATGGGCAGAGCTACGACAGAGCTGAGCCCACTGACTCTATTAGCCAGGCCCCTCTCTTCTTGATAGAGTACCTGGGGATCCCTGGCCACGGTCTCACTTGTGGAAGAGGCAGGCTGGTTGTGGTAGTGGCTGTGTTCATTACTCTATAGATTGCCCGGTGGGAACAAGTAACTTGTCCCAGCTTCTTGTTTCAGCCATCAGTTTCCTCTCCTCAATCTCTTCCTTTCTAAATGGACCTCTACAATTCCAGAGCTGTCTTGCACCTCTTCCCTCTATTCTGTTTTAGTCTGGGACCTTCCCTAGGGAATGCCCATATGACCCTGACTGTTCAACCAGGTGCCCCAGGGATCCTGAGGCCCCCGGGACTCTATTTCCCTGCCCCATGCTCTCCTCCTGGTGTGCAGCTTGAATTGTTTACTGAACTTTTGTGGCCTCAACAAACAAGACTTTCCTGGTTCTGGGTACTGAGCAGTTCCCTGCTTTTTATTTTTCTCATTTGATTTTTCTCTTTCTACTAGCTTCTAAATAATTTTTCTTATATATATGCCTTGATTACCTTAATATATGCATACTGTAAAGTTAATACCTTTATTTTGAGGTGATACTAAAAATACATTGAACTACTGGGATGATACTACAACATATCAACTAACAAATGAGAAATTAAAAATAAATTCTCATTTACCTCTATTCCTGGGAAATAAAGAAATTAAGACAAGAAAAAATATTAAAAACCCATTTAATATCTAGCTAAACTGTACAAATCATAAAAGTGCTTATAACTGATGTAAGCTATAACATAAATTGTTTATCAAATCATTTTATCAGCAATTAAATGAAGCTTCTATTGGAGTCATGATTTGACATGGGGACACATCAGATTCTTCTAACTTGCTCACTAAATTGACAGACATTGGCTGGGCACAGTGGCTCACACCTATAACCCTTTCTTTCTGGCTGATGTCAAGGCTTTCCCTCATACTTTCTTATTCTGTAGTTTCACATTAATGAGACTAATCTTGATTTTTTCTCTCCCTTCTCTCTCTCTTTCCTGCATTGCAGTTTTGGGGATTCTCATTCTGAGAAGTCTCATATGTCTCAATACTTCCAGAAATTTGTTTGCAATTGTCTTGTTGAATATTCTATTTTTTTCCCTTCTATCTTATCTTTCTGGAATTCCATTTAGATATATATTAGGACTTATCATGGTATCCTACAAGTTACTTGATTGTTTATTCTTTTTTTTTTTTTTTTGAGACAGAGTCTCGCTCTGTGGCCCAGGCTGGAGTGCAGTGGTGCGATCTTGGCTCACTGCAAGCTCCACCTCCTGGGTTCACGCCATTCTCCTGCCTCAGCCTTCCGAGTAGCTGGGACTACAGGCGCCTGCCGCCACGCCCGGCTAATTTTTGTATTTTTAGTAGAGACGGGGTTTCACTGTGTTAGCCAGGATGGTCGCAATCTCCTGACCTCGTGATCCGCCCTCCTCGGCCTCCCAAAGTCCTGGGATCACAGGCGTGAGCCACTGCGCCCGGCCTTGTTTTTTCATTTTTTTTAGTCAATTTAGTTTCCAACTTTGATTTGTCATTTTTAATGGTTCATTGCTTTTTGCTGATAGTTTTAAGGTTACTTTTTTTTTTTTGGTCATATTATACACACTTATTTTATGTTCTTTTTCTGATAATTTCAGCATCTGAAGGATTTAAGGGACTGATTCTGGTATCTGTCGTTTCTGCTGGCTCTTACTTCTGGTGCCTTGTTTCCCCTTTGTGAGATTTTTGACTGTTAGCTGATATTTCTTGGAACTCTGTGGGAAGTCTTTGGAGGTGACATAAAATCATACTTTGTGATTACTATCTTCTATGGGAAGCCCCTGTTTCATGGCTCCAGCTCTCAGATGGCGTCTGATGACACTGTTTCTTCTCCCTGCCTGTAGGAGTAGTGATGGCTTCCTATTGTTGCTAGTCCCTGTTGCCCCAACATTCTTCGTTAGTTCACTTAGCCTTACTTTGTAAATGGTCCTGTCTTTGAAAAGCTTCTTCAAAAATCTCAACTGAGCATATCATCTCTTTCCTGCTGGGACCTTGAGTGATACAGTCTATATAAATGACACTTAATAAAAACTTTCAAGTAAGTTTAGGCAGATATAATTATGAGGCTGGGAGATGTGTTTCAAAAAGATAAGTCCAGAGAAGAGTGGAATGCAGGAAAATCTTAGTCCCCATCTCCATAACCCCCCCTCGGCCCCTCTAAGGAAGCCACAACACCCTCTCCCAGGAGATTATCATTCTACACTCCCTTTCAGGCCCATAATTACCACCACCTTCCTCCCTATCCTTCCCTGTTGTTTACCTTGGAGAGCCACAAAGTGAGGGAGGTGCACAGCTTCCACAGCTCCAGGCTCAGCCTTGATGTCCAGCAGAGGCCCTGCCACCATCCAGCTGTGCTGTGGGTTGATCTCACCCAGGAACTGGTCCCACACACAGAATTCAATCTCAACGGTCACCGCTTCTCTCATCACAAAGCAGAGACCCGTGTTGGGCCAGCGGTAGGAGCCAGCTACAGGGAAGTGAACTCTGGGAAGAAGAGGGAGAGGCAGACACTTACTGCACGAACTCACTGAGCACCTGCTGGATGCCAGACCCCATGCAGGGGCTTGCGGATACGGTACAGTGGCTTCAAGCCCAGACTTCGGAATCAGATGGACTTGCATTTTAGTCCTGGCTCTTCTGCTCTTGACTGTGGATCCCTGAGCAAGTCATTTAACCTTCCTGTTTTTGGTTTCCTCATCTGTAAGTAGGAGTAATTATAGCTCCCATCTCCTAGTTACGAGAATAAGTGACTTAATGCATGCTCACAGCTTAGTACACGCCTGGGAGCTGTGAACTGTTTCTACTATGTTGATGATGGCAATGATGGTAATGATGAAATAACAAGTGTTCGTATATGTAAGGGGCCTATTTAGCAATAATTAATAACAATATATGTGCTAAGATTATCTGTCTTGTCTTGTCTGTCTATCTATCTATCTATCTAATCTATCTAATCTATCTATCTATCTATCTATCTATCTATCTATCTATCTATCTATCTATCTAATCTATGGAAATATGGTCTCACTCTGTTGCCCAGGCTGGAGCGCAGTGGCCCGATCTTGGTTCACTGCAGCCTCGAAATCCCTGGCTTAGGCAATTCTTCCACCTCAGCTCCCTGAGTAGCTAGGACTACAGGTACATGTCACCACGTCCAGCTAATTTTTTTGGTAATTTTTGTAGACACAAGGTTTTGCCATGTTGTCCAGGCTGGCCTTGAACTCCTGGACTCAAGTGATCCTCCTGCCTCGGTCTCTTAAAGTGCTGGGATTATAGGCATGAGCCACTATGCCTGGCCGTATGTGCTAATATTAATGCTAAACCCTTAGAATTGGAAACAACACTTTTATAGAGATCAGAAGTGATTTTCCCAAGGCTCCTCAGGTGGGTTAATAGTGGGTCCCGGGATGCCCCAGCTTCTGTAGGTGTGAGCTGGGAGTGACGCTGTCTCCTGGTTGAGATGATGTCTGTGGCAGTGTTTGGTGAGTGGTAACATGTTATATAAGAGATCATGAGTATGACTATAGAGAATTACTACTAGTGCGACTGTAAGCCCTGGGAGGGCAGGGCTGCCATATTCATCTTAGGGTCCCCAGCTACTAGTACAGTCCTTAGCTCATTAGTGGCTGTTAATAAAACAGGAGCATACAGATTAAGAGAGTTAAGTGAGATTTAAGAAATATAACAAAGAAAATAAAATGAGTGGACCTTGTTTGGATCCTGATAAGAACACACCAACTGGCCAGGCGCGGTGGCTCACGCCTGTAATCCCAGCACTTTGGGAGGCTGAGGAAGGTGGATCGTCTGAGGTCAGGAGTTCGAGACCAGCCTGTCCAATATGGTGAAACCCCCATCTCTACTAAAAATACAATTTTCATTTTTCACACGTGGTGGCATGTGACTGTAGTCCCAGCTACTAGAGAGGCTGAGGCTGGAGAATCGCTTGAACCTGGGAGGTGGAGGTTGAGGTAAGCCAAGATTGTGCCATTGCACTCCAGCCTGAGTGACAGAGCAAGACTCTGTCTCAAAACCAAATCAAACCAAACCCAACCAAACCACAACACCAACTATAAGAACATGTTTTAGACAATTGAGCAATTTGAATATGGATTGGGGAGTAGATGAAATGAAAGACTTACTGCCAGCTTTGTCAGATGTGATATTGGCATTGTAGTTATGTTATGGAAGAAAAGGTTTTTATTTTTGTTTTTTGAGATGCGTAATGAAATATTTAAGGGTAAAATCACCCGATGTCTTGGATTTAAAATACTGTAACAATAACAAAGAGGGGGAAAGTGAACAGCTGAAACGAATTTGGCAAAACAGTGGCTGAAGCTGGGTGATGGGTACATGGAAGCTCCTTGTACTATTTTTGTATATGTTTGAAAATTTTAAGTTTCATAAGAAAACATCTTTTTCCATATGAAAAGCAGACACCCAGTGTCTCAGCCCTGTCTCTGCCTGTTGTCTTGGCAAGAGGAGGGGACCCAGTGGTGAGTGTGAGTTGGGGGTAGGGGGTGGCGCTGACTGTCTGTGGGGACCCAGGATGGGCAGTGGGGTGCGGGAGGCCAGCCTGGGACCAGCAGAGCCCCCTCACTCACCGGTACAAGTTCTTTTCTTTGTCAACTACCTCAGTAGCCACAGGCCCCGTGGGGCCCCAGAAGTCATCGTCAGTCCCCAAAGGCTTCGTATGCAGGTCCCCTTGAGAGGCAGGAGAAGGCACGCACAAGAGTTCCACCGGTACTACCTCTGGGGAGCTTTCCTCTGAAACAGCAAGGCAGCGGTCAGCTCCAGATTCTCCCGCCTGGCCTCCCCTAGCCCCTATGGCTGCACTGTAAGGGGCCCTTCCCAAGGCTGGCCTGCCTGGACCATGGCAGGGAGTGTGTCTGCAGCTTCTGCTCCTGCTCCATGGCTGCCTGCCTGCTGTCTGGGGAGCCCCACTCCAGTGCCTCCAGCCCAGCCTCCGCCCATCTCCCCTTCCCCACTGGAATAGAAGTGCCACTCTCCCCAGCATGCCCAGGTGGGCAGGTTGAGAGAGAACATGGTTCAAAAGATGAAAGGGGCCAGGCACCGTGGCTCTTGCCTGCAATCTCAGCAATTGGGAAGATCTTGCTCACGTCCAGGAGTTTGAGATTAGCCTGAGCAACATGGGAAGCCGCCCTCTCTACAGAAAAAAGAAAAATATCAGCCAGGCATGGTGGTGAGCATCTGCAGTCCCAGTTCTACTCAGGAGGCGGAGGTGGGAGGATTGTTTGAGCTCAGAAGGTTTAGGCTGCAGTGAGCCATGAACATGCCACTGCACTCCAGCCTGAACACTAGAGTGAGACTCTGTTTTTTTTTTTTTTTTTTTTTTTTTAGATGGCAGGGCAAAGATGGAGATGTGATTCCCAGGCCTTAGCAGCCAAGAATGGAAGAGGCCGGACCCCGGTTCAGGGTTTGATACATGCCATAGACGTTCTGGAGAGGGGAAGCACCAGCCGGTGGGTCTCGGAGAGAGGGTAACGGAAATCCAGCCAGTTCCTAGGAGTGGGAGCTCTCTCGTGGGGGTAGCACCCTCTTGGGTAGGAAACCTGCCCCGTCCCACATCAGGGGCAGAGGGATGGAGGGAATGACCTCCCACAGCTGACCTCCCCCAACCCCTGTCACGATGCTCCCAGCCTTGCCCCTTCAAACTACCTGATCCGAGTCTCTGCCGCTTGAGTGAGGATGTGCTATTACTCATCTCTCCCGTATCCAGGCCCTCAGTAGGGGTCATCACACTTGGTTTCCTGGACAAAGAATTGTTCATTCTGCCTAAGATCTTGGAGGAAGCGAGGGCTGTCCACATGACATTCCCACTAAAAATTCAACTCCTCCTCGGGTCGGGTGCAGTGGCTCATGTCTGTAATCCTCGCACTTTGGGAGGCCGGGATGGGTGGATAGCTTAAGCTCAGGAGTTCGAGACCAGCTTGGGTAACATAGTGAGACCTCCCCACCTCATCTCTGCCAAAAATACAAAAATTAGCTGGGCATGGTGGCATGCACCTGTATCCCAGCTACTTGGAAGGCTGAAGTGGGAGGATCACTTGAGCCCAGGAGGCAGAGGTTGCAGTGAGCTGAGATTGTGCCACTGCACTCCAGTCTGGGTGACAGAGCCAGACCCTGTCTCAAACAAAACAAAACAAACAAAAAAACTCCATCCGAATTTGAACTCAATCCTGTGGTTCTTCTGTGGTCCCTGTCTCTGTGAGCAGCCTCCATCCACCCATGCATCCAGGCTAGAGCTGGGGTGTCATCCCAACTCCTTCCTCGCCCACCCTAAGAGCTGATCACCTTGACAACACCTCTCAAATAGCTCTTCTTTCTATTGTCTTCTCTCCACCTCCATGACCTCCACCTGAGTCCCAGGCCCTGGCCTCTGTGGCCCGCACCACTGCAGCATCCTCTGAAAGGTCTCCCTGCTTCTGCTCGGGTCCCTCTGCCGCCCATTTTCTACACAGCAGCCAATCTTGAAATAGGAACCTGACCCATCACTTGGCTGCTGCAACCCTGTAATGTCGCTTCATTGCTTCTGGGGGAAAATGGAAAGTTTTTAACATAGTCCAAAAGGGCTTGCCAGGGCCTCTGTCACCCTCCAATGTCACCTGGGCCACTTTTTCCTGGCTCACTGACCTCTAGTCCATCGGTTCTCAAACTGTGCGCTTAACAATCATCTGGAAGGCTTGTTAAGACACAGATTCAGCCGGGCGCGGTGGCTCACGCCTGGAATCCCAGCACTCTGGGAGGCTGAGGCGGGCAGATCACAAGGTCAGGAGTTCGAGACCAGCCTGGCCAACATGGTAAAACCCCGTCTCTACTAAAAATACAAAAATTAGCTGGGTGTGGTGGCATGCACCTGTAGTCCCAGCTACTCTGGAGGCTGAGGCATAAGAATGGTTTGAACCTGGGAGGCAGAGGTTACAGTGAGCCGAGATCATGCCATTGCACTCCAGCCTGGGTGACAGAGCGAGACTCTGTCTCAAAAAAAAAAAAGACACAGATTCCTGGGCCCCACCCCAGAGATTCTGATTCAGTGGGTCTGGAGTGGGGCCTGAGAATTTGCAGTTCTATCGAGCTCCCAGTGAGGGTGATGCTCATGCTGCTGGTCCACGGACCACAGTTTGAGTAGCTGCTCCTGACGCCTGGCCTCCCATTCCTCCAGGAGGCTAAACTCTTTTCTCTCTCAGAGCCTCTACTTCTGCCTGGACTCCACCCCTTCTTGGGCCCAGCCAACCTGTCCTGTCTTTCAGACCTCAGCCCAGATCCTCTTGACCAGGTCAAATAGGCCCATAGGTGCACTCACACTGACCCCAGGTGCATTTGCGCAGACACTTCTGGGATAACCTGTGCCTGTCTCCCTGCTGGACTAAGCTCCTGGAGGTTGGGTTGTGTCTTTCTTGTTCACTGCTGTGTCCTTAGATCCCCAAACAGTGCCCGACACATAGTGGGTCTGCAGGGAATGTTTGTTCAATGAATAAATGGCTCCTCTTAAGCCTAGGAGCTGTTTTCCTTCCATTTCAGGTGAGCCACAGCAGCCAGGAACCTGGGGACAGATGAGCTTCATGGTCAGGTGGAAATGCACCCAACTGGGAGAATGTGGGAGCTGCAGCAGATTCCTCGGGGAAGGGAAGATGGACTTTCCTGGCCCCGGGGCTTGCCCCTCAAGTCAGGGGTGTGTGTGGTGGTGGTGGTGAGGGTGGTGGGTGACGGTGATGGCGAGGATGGTCTTTTTCCCAGGGCACAGGCGCTCTCTCTCTCTGTCTTTATCTCCCTCTTGTGATCATCGCTTTCATTGTTCCAAACCTTCTCTGTTCTTCATGGAAGGATTCCTGGACTAGAGGCCATTTGGTATCATGCTGTGCTGGGTCCAGGGGATTCGCTGGCTCACCCACCCACTGACTTTTTCTTGTTCTTTTTTTTTTCTTTTTGAGATGTTGTCTTGCTCTGTCACCCAGGCTGGAGTGCAATGGCGTGATCCTGGTTCACTGCAACCTCTGTCTCCTGGGTTCATGTGATTCTCCTGCCTCAGACTCCCAAGTAGCTGAGACTACAGGCGTGCGTCACCACACCCAGCTAATTTTTGTATTTTTAGTAGAGACAGGGTTTCACCATGTTGGTCAGGCTGGTCTTGAACTCCTGACCTCATGATCCACCTGCCTCAGCCTCCCAAAGTGCTGGGATTACAGGCGTGAGCCACCATGCCCGGCTTTTTTTTTTTTTTTTTTTTTTTGAGATGCAGTCTTGCTCTGCCACCCAGACTGGAGTGCAGTAGCGCGATCTTGGCTCGCTGCAGCCTCCACCTCCTGGGTTCAAGTTATTCTCATGCCTCAGCCTCTTGAGTAGCTGGGACCACAGGCACCCGCCACCACGCCTGGCTAATTTTTTAGCCCACTTACTTTTTCATGTTTTCCTTTCCTTGTTTGTCTAACGTTAAGAGTTGAAGCAAGGGGGGATTTGATTCTACTTGCACTGACAAGTGCACCTCACTCTGGCTGCTGTGGTGTCTGGGTTTCTCCCTGGCTGTGTTTGTCTCTCACCCCATGGCTCTTTCCCTGTCTCCTGCTCAGCCCTGGGCCTGGGTCAGCCAGAGGGAGTTCTGGGTCCCCCCTTACCGTCTGCTGAAGATGAGCAGCTGAGGTTTCTCCTGCTCCAGGGCCCTCAGTTCCTGCCTCATCTCATCACTCAGAGTTGTCTGGTCCAGCCTGAAAGCACAAAGGGAGCCGGGTCCTCCTGGGATCCCCCATGTGGTCCCCAGGTCCCCAGGGCCCAGAATCCTGGGACCTGTCACCTTCTGAGGCAGCGGCCGCAGGGTGGGTTCCCTGGAAGCCAGGCTCTGAGGAGGAGGGTACAGTGAGGAGATTCATTAGGGTGTGTTCTTGGGTCAATGCCAGGGCAAGGGAAGGGAGGGAATCGGGGAGACGTGGGCTGTGAGGCAGTCTCCAATGGAGGCCTCAGCCAACTCTGGGAGATGATCCTTTAGAGCTGTTTAAAGGAGTTGGGTTGAGGGGCTGGGCCTTTCTACCCCAACATTGGCCAGTCATCGGATGTGGGCCTCCCCAGGAAGGAGATGTGGCCTTGGGTGAGGTGGCTCTCACTGGCAGAGGCTGTCTCTACAGCCGGCTGCCAGGGATTTCCCCATGGCCTCAAAATGACCACCTCAGGCCTGGGTCCTGGGATTTTCTTCCCAGTGGTCGGAAGTTTTGCTGGGAAGAGAGAGTCCTGGTTCCATCCTCCCAGGCCTTGTGGTCTGGGGTTTCTGCCAGATGTGAGATGCTGATTGTCTTCTCTGGGTCTCTGTGTCCTCCATCTACCACGTAGGATGAATCAATCCTGCCCTGCCTGTTCTGAGGCCCAGACAAGGAGGCGGTGAAAAGACCCTGTCTTCTGCGAAGGGCTCTGCATTCATTCCCCTACTGCTGTTAGAGCTGTTCTGCCCCTGGGGAGGAGCGCAGACCTTGAAGTAGAAGGTTATTCTTCTCAACTAAGTCCCGGCTCCAGGAGGGAAGGAGGTGGAAACCTACTCGGGACTCTAGAGAGCAAACCCCCTCAGAAGCAGCCCAGGTTTGACAGGTAAGTGTTGAGCTGGGGCCTGAAGCCATATCTGCCTGCCATGGCCAAGCTCTGGGGAAAGGCTCTTCAGCATAAGGGAGGTAGTGATAGCCAAAAATACTCAGTGGGGAGCAGCAGGCTGGGGTGCAAAGGTGCTGCCCCCTTGGGATGGAGTTCCCATGGTTGTAGATAGCCAGTGTCAGCTACAGGAGAACCCAAATGTAGACTATTTATTTCTGTTATTCTGCCTTGACCACTTCTTTAGGTTTGGGAGGCCTGGCTGAGGAAAGCCCGAGGCCCAGGCTTCCCGGACCCCCTCTGAGAAGGCTCTGGATGTGGGGGTTTGGAGCCCCTGTCTGCTCCCTGAGATGTGGCAGGGCCCCTGGCAGGAGCCGTGGGTAAGTGTCAAGACAGAAGCCACTCATGGGCTTGCTCCCAGGGAGGTGGAGGGGAGCAGAAGTGGCCCAGAGATAGTGTGGGGGTGGCTCCTCGGGGAAGGGCAAGAATCTCTGGGGCCTACGGGATGGGAAATGAGGGCTGGGGGCTCACTCCACTCAGGGTCCTTCAGTTCTCCGGGGCTCAAGTGCCTCTTTGTTCTGGGCCTTTCCCCACACCATCCCTAGGCCTAGAATACTCTCCCCAACTTGGCCTGGGTACCTATTCCTCCTTCAGACCTCAGCCTGACGTCACTGTCTCAGGGAAGTCCTCCCTGGCCCTTTGATCAAATCCCATCCTCCCTCAATATTACATTCTCATAATACCCTGTACTTTCCTTTCACTCCACAGAGCTCATAAATATAGACTTGTGCATTTACAGGTGACCAGTGTCCGTCTCTTCCCCACTAGAGTAGAAGCTTCAGTAGGGCAGGGCCCATGTCTGTTTGGTCACTATTGTACCCCAAGGCCTGGTCTGGTGCTTACACACGGGAGGCACTCAGTGAATGAATGAATGAGTAAATGAATGAATGAAGCGCTGCCCTGGAGTGAGGGGAACCTGAGCGTCCCCTAGAGCATGCAGCCTCAGTAATAGTTATCATTTGATCATGCCCGACTCTCTTCCCAGCACTGTCCTTGTTTTTATTTTATTTGTTTAATTAATTAATTAATTTTTGAGACTGAGTCTCACTCTGTTGCCCAGGATGGAGTGCAGTGCTGTGATCTAAGCTCACTGCAACCTCTGCCTCCCAGGCTCAAGTGATTCTCCCTGCAAGTAGCTGGGATTACAGGTGCACACCACCATGCCCAGCTAGTTTTTATATTTTTAGTAGAGATGGGGTTTCAGCATGTTGGCCAGGCTGGTCTCTAACTCCTGACCTCAAGTGATCCACCCGCCTCGGCCTCCCAAAGTGCTGGGATTACAGGCGTGAGCCACCACGCCCTGCCTGTCCTTGTTTTTATATACATTTTATTTCATTACAATCCATGAAGTGGGTATGATACTCCCATTCCACAGATGAGGAAACAGAGTCCCAGAGAATTCAGCGACTTGTCCAAGTCACACAGTGTAAGTGGTAGAGCTGGTAAGAAACTTGGGTTGGCTATGCATTTATCAGTCCTTTTTCCATCCCCTGTCCGATACCCCCCCAACCCTCTTCCCTCTGCCCAGAAGGGACCCACAGGGCCTTACCCCAGGCGTATGAGTTTGCAGGCAGGATGCCTGAGCCCCTCACAGAGCAGTCGCACGCCAACGTCATCCAGGTTGTTCTGCTGCAGGTCTAGCTCCTTCAGGCTGGGGCTGGCACTAAGCACAGAGGCCAGGTCCTGGCAGCAGTCAGACGTGAGGCCACAGCTGACCAGCCTGCAGGAAAGATACACGCCAGCCCAGGTCATTGTCCTAAGGGCTCGCTCTTCAGGGTAACTAGGGTCTGATCTTCCTTCTCAGCATCTGTGGCCTTTTGAGGGTCTGGGATGACATGCAGAGAAGATACAAACTTTCCTGGCTTGCGGTAACCTGAGAGATTTTCACTTTCCTCTTGCAGCCACGGAACCCCTCAGGATGCCAGCACCTACCCTTTCTCAATCCTGTGTGATTCACACTGATCCAGTCCCCTCACTCTGTCCACATTGATGAGTAACTTACTCAATGTCCCACTTGTACACCTGGGTCTATCTGTTTTCTCTTTTTCTTTTTTCTTTTGAGACGAGTTCTCACTCTGTGTCCCAGGCCTCCCAAAGTACTGGGATTACAGGGGTGAGCCACCGTGCCCGGCCGGTAGGGCCTTTTTAGAGGGCAAAATTAGCAACATATCGTTTTCCCAGCAGTTCCATTTTTCGGAAGTTAAGCTACAGATAATATGCTGGGTCTCAGGACGCACTGGGGGATGTTAACTGCTGCCCTGTTTACAGCAAACACTGGAGACAATCTGGCTGCTCATAATAGGCGATGGATAAAAACATGATGGTAAGTCCATGTAGTGAAATTCCATGCTGTGATTAAAAAGAATGATGTGACTTTGTACGTACGGATGTGGGACCATCTCCAAGATATATTTTAACTGATAAAGCAAAGTGCAGGGCAGAGTTTGTGCTGTGCTACCATTTATGCCAGAAAAGGGCTATGTACCTGCTGTATGTTGTATATATGTAGGCTCTCTCTGGGGGTTCTCCTGTCTGGGGATCCTCTGCTCTTGGGGTCTCAGCCCTGCTTCTAGAACTGTTGGCTCTCCCAGCTGGGTCTGCTCAGACCCAGCTGCAGTCCAAGCTTGTAAATGTCACAAAGCATTCCAGGGCCTTCGCTAAGAGAGGGAACAGGGAGAATGGAAAACCAGGCTTTGAGGTCAGACCTGGCTTCAAATCCTGGTGCAGCTACTTCCTGGCTATGTGGCCTTGGGAAAATAATGAATCTCTCCGAGATCCAATCTTGTCTTCTGTAGATGTAGCGAGGATTAAATCTGACAAGTGTTACCGACTTCCTAGCCGACCAGGGATCGCCGACCCCTGATACTAGGAGAGGATCCTCGTTGTCTCCCCTTCCCATGCCCCCTTCCCATCAACTCTTGATCAGGATTACTGAATGGGGAAGCAGGCAATAGCCTTGGGAAGGGCAGAGGTTTGGCCTTGGGAAGAAGGAAGGGACGTGTGATGTGTGAACAAAGATCTCGCAAGGTGTAAACAAGGATATTTCAGGGCTTGGGCAGAAACAAAAGAAGACCCTGAAGGCAGCCCCCTGAGCGGGTGCACAGAGGGGTGTGTATAACTTTGTGCATCAAGGGAGGAGGCCCAGCAGGACCAGGGAGAGGTAACTATGCACTCTTGTTTCTTTTCTTTTCTTTTTTAAGAAGGAGTCTCGCTCTGTTGCCCAGGCTGGAGTGTAATGAGGTGATTTCAGCTCACTGCAATGCCTACCTTCTGTGTTCAAGCAATTCTCCTGCCTCAGGCTCCCTGAGTAGCTGGGATTACAGGTGCCCACCATCACGCCTGGCTACTTTGTGTAGTTTTAGTAGAGACAAGGTTTCACCATGTTGGCTAGGCTGGTCTGGAACTCCTGACCTCAAGTGATCTGCCTGCCTCGACCTCCCAAAGTGCTGGGATGACAGGCATGAGCCAGGGCGCCTCACTTGTTTCTACATGGTGGCGGGGGGGATGGCTCTGTCCCCTCGGATGAGATAGTAAATCGAACTAAGTGGACACCAGTGATTTCAGCTCTCCATGGCAGAACCCCATGCCAAGTAAGAGGACCTGTTACTAGGCAGATCACAGCTCGTGGGAACAGGAGAAGAATAGAAAAACACTGCTGCAATCCTCATAGCTCTATGAAGTGGGCACGATTATCATCATCCTCTGTGGTAGTCTGTGAAAATGGCCACAAATTCTGCCCCCTGTCCCCACCTTGCATTCACGTCCCTTGACTCGACTTGGCTTCTCTTGCTGTATTTGGAGCCTGGAGGCCCCCTCCCTCTGTCCAAGGGTGGATGAGCTTCCTCCTGAGCCTCTACTGCCTGGCTGAGATCCTGTAGGCTCCTCCCACTCCCACAAAGCAGGTCTCACCTTCTCTCTGCTCTTACCCTCTGCCTGCCTCATGGTGGCAGGCAGTTCCCTCCACCTCCCCCTGCCCACCAAGAACAATTACTGCAGTCGCTGTAGCTTGCAGCTCGGCTGTCTCAGTCTCTGGCAAAGGTGTTTGGCTCCAGCATCCGTGAGCACATTGAAGCTCAGGTCCAGCTCGGTCAGGGTCTGGTTGGCTCTCAGCCCAAAGGCAAGGTCCTTGCAGTCCTCAGCTGTGAGGCCACAGCCAGCCAACCTGTGGAAGACACACACCCATGGTCTTCAGGTTACTCACCTGTTGATTCAACAGACACCCATAAGCAACCATTAATCACCTACTATGCACCAGGCCTGTGGGCCAGGCAGAGGTCTAGAAAACCCTCCCAGGCCCCAGAAATGCACATGGTACTTGGGGATAGACATAGAAACACATAATAGTTAGTTTTTTGATCCTTTTTGATTAAAACCCTCCAATGTTTTCCCACATTACTCAGAATACAATTCACGGTCCTTTTCCTGGTCTACAGGGCTCTGGGGACTTGGATCCTCATCATCTCTGTCCTCATCTCTAATCTCTTTTAGGTCCATAGTCACTGCCCTTCTCTCTCTTCCTTCCTCACCCCAGGCACAGTTCCACCTAAGGTCTCTGCACCTGCTGCTTCTGCTGCTTCTTCTGCCTGGAACAATCTTCTGGTGCTGACACCTCATGGGGTGCTCCTCCACTTGCGTCAGGTCTTTGCTCAGAAGGAAGTCGCTTTGGTGACATCTTGCCTCGTCTCTCCACTTAAAATTGCACACCCATCCCCAGACTCCCTGCTCCTTTCTGCTTTACTTTTCTCTATAGCTCATGTCACTCACAATATATTTTACTTACTTATTTGGCTTCTTGTCCTCCCTCCCAACTAGAATGTAAGCTCCTTGAGGAAGGAATTTTGCCCATTTCCCTCCCTCCCTCCCTCCCTCTCCTTCCTTCCTTCCTTCCTTTCCTCTTTCTCCTTCCTTCCTCCCTCCCTCCCTCCTTTCTTTCTCTCTCCTTCCTCCCTCCCTCCTTCCCTCCCTCCCTTCCTTCTTTCTGTGAGATGGAGTCTCGCTCTTTCACCCAGGCTGGAGTGCAGTGGCGTGATCTCGGCTCACTGCAACCTCCGCGCCCTGGGTTCAAGTGATTCTCCTGCCTCAGCCTCCTGAGTAGCTGGGATTACAGGTGCCTGCCACCATGCCCGGCTAATTTTTGTATTTTTAGTAAAGACGGGGTTTCGCCATGTTGGCCAGGCTGGTCTTCAACCCCTGACCTCAGGTGATCCACCCACCTCAGCCTCCCAAAGTGTTAGGATTACAGGCGTGAGCCACCGTGCCCAGCCCCATTTTCATTACTAGTCATATCCCAGTGCCCAGAGCAGGGTCTAGCATACAGTAGGTGCTTAGTAAGTATGTAGTAAATAAATGAATGAAATAGCCTCAAAAGAGGGGCAAGTCAGGTGCAGCTGAAGGCAGAGGAATGAGTGATTGCCAAGGCAGGGTGGAAACGGTGAAACTTAAATGAGTGATTCACTGAGGTGAGGGCGGAGGCAGGGGCACGCGTGGCTGGTAGGGCAGATGTGAAATCACAGCACGCGGTTAGTATAGTGATGTTAGCGTAAAGGCTACCCAGGTAGAGAGAAAGTCTGAGGGTAAAGCTAGAAAATATCAAGATAGTAGTAGGTCTTGGATGTCATTATAAGATGTTTAGACCTATTTCCCTGTGGCAGTGATGAGCCCATGAAAGTTCCTGAGGCCAGCAGTGATGTGGTCTCTGCATTGCTTTAGAAAGATCCCTGAGGGAGGTTGTAGTGAGCTGAGATCATGCCACTGCACTCCAGCCTGGGTGACAGAGCAGGACTCCATCTCAAATAAAAAAAAAAAAAATGCAAGATCCCTGAGGAAGTGGAGGTGGCTGGGTGGGGAAAGGCAGGAGGCAAGGGGTCTGTGGGGGAGGATGAGCAACTGTCAGAGCAGCGACTTCGGGAGATGTTTGGAGCAGACCCTGTGGCACTCAGTGGAGTCCAGGGAGGCCTCAAGGTTGGATTCAGAGTAGAAGCTGCTGTCACTTACTGAGAAAGCAGATGTTAGAAGAGTGTCAGTTTCATTGGTGTACAACCAGGGTGGTTGCACAGGGCCCCGTGCTCAGAAGGACCCGGAACTGGCAGGGGTGTGAGAAGGACCCTTCTAGATTGGGGGGGTTAATGCTCTGTGGTGGCCATCTTGAATTTCTTAATAATTTTGTCTTTAAATTTGTGTTTTGTAGGTGAAGTCTGATGGGACCATGGAGCCTCAGCTCATAGGTGATGCCATCTCCTGCCACCTCCCTCCCTCCCTCTAGGGGAAATAGTTCTTGGTCATCCTGCATTTGAGTGTTGTGGGGCCCCCACTCAACCTCAGCCCAGTGATTATTGCCACGCTTTATCTCTGGTGGGGGCCTGGATCAGGCATGGGTAGGTTGGGGTGGGGCATCTTGGGGTAGGGCAGGTGGCAGCCTTTCTCGATTTGGGCTGGCAGCATCATGGCACATTTGGTGATTTGGTGGGGGCAAATCTCCCCCACCACTGATCTAGATACCTAATGCATCCTGGCAATACCCTGGAGGGTCTCCCATCTGCTTTAGGCTGGGGTGGTGGCCCATGGGAAGGAGACATGTCTGGCTTGACATTTTACCCACTCTGGGGCATGGTGCCTGGATCTGGTGACTTGTGGGAGAGGCACCCTGCATCTGGTGCACCATGTGCACATGCTGAGCTGTGGAGAGGCCTCCGAGCACCTTTGAGGGTCTGGACAAACACTGCTAGTGTCCCAGTGCCCAAGGGAATGCATTGTTAAATAGCAAATAAAATACACTGTGATAGGTTGAGAGAGAAACTATGGAAGAAAGAAAAAGCTCTGTATCGTAGTACCTTTAACAGCACTTTCATCCTGACTTTTGAGCTAGGACACTGCATTTTCATTTTGTATTGGGTCCTGAAAATGATGCAGTTGGTTCTGAGAGGAGGAACAGTTTGTTTTTAGTTAGGGAGGATAGTCTAGGTAAGAATAGGCTGAATTTCAGGAGCCTCTGGGACACCTCAGAGGAGGGTGTTGGGTTTGGGTCTGGAGCTGCAGATGCAGGGTTGGCAGACACTGTGGGAGCGGCCATCTGATATGATTATGGGAGCGGCTGTGTGTGAGGGGGAAGGAGGCTGAAGGTGGGGCCTGGTTATCCTTCTGGTTGGACTCAAATACCACTCTCCATCCTCTCCAAAAATCTCTGTCTTTCCTTGCTCTCATAAGACCTACTTTTCCCCTTTGTTTTTCTCTGGCTTCCTTCTGGACTTTCCTATCCAGCCAGGAATTTAAGGTCAGCTGCATTAAACACACATCCTGGCAAGGTGTGGTGACTCCTGCCTGTAATCCCCACACTTTTGGAGGCCGAGGTGGGAGGATGGCTCGTATCCAGGAGTTTGAGGCTGCATTGAGTCATGATCACACCACTGCACTCCAGCTTAGGTGACAGAGCGAAACCCCAATTCCCCCTGTCTCTCTTACACACAGACACACAGACACACACACACACACACACAGACACCCACACAGACACAGACACCCACACACAGACACACACGGATACACACACACATACACAGACATACACAGAGACACACACTTTGACACACAGACACACATACAGACACACACACAGACACACACACACAGACACACAGACACACACACACATACACACACAGACACAGACACAGACACACACACAGACACACACAGACACACACACACGACTCAGTATGTGGCATTGTAGAGCACTTGGATTTTAGAGTGCACCAGGCCCTCGGTAACGTCTCCCTGGACAATCACTGTCTTCCTTCTCTGCTTCCAACCCTGAGCTGCAGAGTGTGGCCCAAGAAAGTCCAGACGCAGCTGGCAGATGTGGCTCTGTGCTCACTGCCTGTGGCTGGCATCTCACAGCTGAGGGCCTACTTCCCAGATGGCTGTCTCCTGCCAGCCCACTCTCTCCCTGGGTGGTCGGTTCTACCCACCTGGCTTATCTGATTTCCTGCTTGTTGACAAGCTCATTTTCACTAGGCATGTTCCTGCCCCCAGGACTCATCTCAGCATAAACAAATGTGCCTCTCTTGGGGCTTTATTTATTTTTAAACAACTTACCATTACAAGCTGTGCTGTGTGGACTTCCCTCCTCCAATCCTACCCACTCCCAAGCCCCAGTGAAGACACTTGGTATTGGACCTCTGTGAGGAGGCTGAGGCCATCTGACCTTGGGCAGCAGTGACCCCAGTGGGCAGGTGAAGGGCACAGGCTTTGGGGCTAGACAGAGATGGATTCAAATCTTGCCTCTGTCAGTTACAAGTTGAAGACTATGGCAGATGTCTTTACCAAGTTTCAGTTCACTCATCAGTATCATGGATCTGCCATGTCTATTGTACCAGCTGGCTGCAAGATCCAAGGAGATCATGTATGCCATGTTCTTAGGGAAGCCCCTGGCAGAAGGTTAGTGCTTAAAGGATGCTGCTGCTGTGGAAACCAAAACCCTCAATGTCCCTCCACCTCTCCGTCCTCAGCTGCCTGTGTCATCACATAGTCCTTTCTCTTCTGTTCCAGAGGAGGCCAAGGGTCCACCCTCATGTGTCTTCGATTCCACACCCTCTGTCTGGTCTCTCCCCTGACCTTGCTCTTTCCGGCATTCCTTTTTTGAGCTCTCCAACCCCACTCCCGCCAATTTCTCCTTTGTCTGCGTAATGTGCTCAATTTTACAGGCCATTAGTGACAAAACCCCAGAATTCCTGACACCAGCTTATTCAATGCATTTCAAGATAAATCCAAAAGTGAAATAAGCCAGACATAGAAAGAAAAACACTACATGGTCTCACTTGTGGGTGAAATATTAAAAAAGCAAAATACATACAAAGAAAGAATAAATGGTGGTTATCAGGGGCGAGGAGGGGGAGGAAATGAGGAGATGTAGGTAAATAAAAAAAGAGAAATACAATAGTTAGGACTTTGCTTGCGGGTCTTGGGTAGTCTGGCATCCAAGCGTGTGTAAGGCTGTACACTCTTCCATATGGAGATGTTTTTATTGTGGGAAATATTCACATTTGCCTGATCCAGATTTTCTTTCTTTTTATGGTGCTACCCCCAGTGAGCCAGAATTAATCAGGCCCCGGCTTACCTGATACAGAGGAGGTAGGTGTTGGTGCTGGGTCTTGCCCTCACTGAGTTGTGTCCAGCTCTCCCACTGCTAACTATGTGAATTTGGCAAGTCGTTAATTTCTCTGAGCCTCTTAGGACAACTTAGGCACTAAATACATAGCATACATGACCCTAAATACACATCATACATGAACCTAAGTACATAGCATACATGGTCCTAAGTACATAGCATACATGACCCTAAATACATAGCATACATGACCCTAAGTACATAGCATACATGTCCTAAGTACACAGCATACATAACCCTAAATACATAGCACACATGACCCTAAGTACATAGCATACATGATCTCCTTTGACTTTGCAGCCACCTTGTGCAACAGACATGGTGAATCCATGTTATTAATGAGTAAACTGAAACTTGCTAAAGAAACCTACCCATAGTTTTCAATCTGTAACCGTTAGAGGCAAGATTTGAACCTGTGTGTGTCTGGCTCCAGGGAATGTCCTTCCCCAGCCCATTTCTTTATATATGGAAAATGGAAATAGTTGTCCCTGCTCTGCCATTTTTGCAGGGTGTTTTTTGGAAGGCCCAAGGAATTAACAGATATGGAGTTGTTTGGGTTTGAGATAGTGAAATTTTATGCCAATGTAAAAAGAGTACATTGAAGATTGGTGTCTTCCTACTGGGGTGTGAAGTTTGAGGTAGAACCAGGATTCCTTAGTCCTGCTCAAAAGCATTTTTACTGGACTCTGGTGGTTCTCCTTGGATAGGTCTTAGGAGTGGGTAGAGCAGCCTCATAAGGATACAGAAAGTCACAGCACGAGGCTGGGCTTGCCTCCTTACTCTGCCTGCTCAACTTCTCCCACTGTAACTCCTTTTTAATGAACAATCTCTTGATTGCTTTCCTTTCTTACAATCTCCTTTCTTTCAATCTCTTATCACTTTCTTTTCTTCAATTTCCTTGGAATGTAGGTTAGATTCCATGATCCTTCATTGGCAGTATCCTGAATTTCTTACCCTCTGACCTTCCATCACATTCCTCTGGCTAACCCTGAATTCTGCTATCTTTCCACTCTCCACCCAAACTCCCACCTGTGCAACAGGGTAGGTGGCTGCCATCTTGAATCATGACCACGACCCTCACATGGGCCACAGCAATGCCTGACTGGCAGAGATCTCACACTCTACTATGGCCATTTGAAGATCTTGCCTTTTCCAAACATCCAACACCTCAACCCTCACACTCACTCCTAGCAAACAACTCAATTCCTATTTCTCAGAGAAAAATGAAGCCATCAGATGGGAACCTCTCAGCTTCTCAGAGTGAAACCTATGTTCCTACCTCTCTCTTCCCTGTCCTCATCTCCCCTCCTGTTACAGTAAAGGAGACATTTCCTCCCTCTTCCAAGGCCAATCTTTCTCCTCCCTCCTCCCTCTGAGGATAGAGAGCCATCAATGACTCCTTCTCCTTCTTGTGTCTTTTATCACTCCTCCTCACTGATTCTCAAACTGAGATCTTTTCCTTCTTAAATGCAAGTAAGCAGATGGACAGACACACACATTTACTCAGCCCACCATCCCCTCTGCTTTAGTGCTTTCCTCCTTTTCACTATCAAAGTCTTTGAAGAAAGTATATTTGTGGTCTCATTTTTTACCTCCTTCTCCCTCTTTAATGCACTCCAGTCTGCATTCTCGCCTCTTCATGCCACATAAGGTACTTCTGCTGAGGTTATTCATGACTTTCCTATCACTAATCCAATGGACAAATTTCAGTCCTTATCTTGACCTCCCAGCAGCAGTAGTCCCTGCTGACCTCCTTGAGACCCTCTGCTCTGTTGGGTTCCATGACACCTCTCTCTCCTGGTGTCCCTTTCATCTATGTGGCCCCTCCTTCTCAGGCTTGTTTGTTGGCTCTTCTTTGGCCATTAAATACTGGGGTGGGGGTGTTCCCCAGGCTTGACATGCAATCTTATTTTTGCCCGTGAATTTTAGAATCAGCTTGTCCATTTCTGCAAAAATGGCAGCTGGGATTCTGCTAGGGATTGTGTTGAATCTATAGATCAGTTTGGGGGGTATTGTCATTTTAATAATATCAAGTCTTCCAATCTATGAACATGGGACATCTTTTCATTTGTTTAGGTCTTACATAATTTCTTTCAACCATTTTTTGTAGTTCTCTGTATACAAGTTTTCTTTTGTTAAATTTATTGTTTTCCTAATTTAATTTTTGGATTGTTCATTGCTAGTGTATAGCAGCACAACTAATTTTTGTATATTGATCTTGTTTCCTGAAACCTTGCTGAAATCATTAGTTTTTTTTTTTTTTCTTTTTCAACAGGGTCTCCCTTTGTCACCCAGGTTGGAGTGCAGTGGCACAATCTCAGCTCACTGCTACCTCTGCCTACCAGGCTGAAGCGATTCTCCCACCTCAGCCTCCTGAGTAGCTGGGACTGTGGGCGTGTGCCACCACGCCCGGCTAATATTTTGTAGTTTTGGTAGAGACAGGGTTTTGCCGTGTTGCCCTGGCTGGTCTTGAACTCCGGAACTCAAGCAATCCACCCACCTCAGCCTCCCAAAGTGCTGGGATTACAGGGCATGAGCCACCACACCTGGCCCTAATTTTAATATTTGTAGATTCCTTAGGATTTTCTACATACAATGTCATGTCACCTGCAAATAATAGTTTAATTACTTTCTTTTCAATCTGGAAGCTGTTAATTTCATTTTCTTGCTTAATTACTCTGGATGGAACCTTGAGTACAGTGTTGAATAGAAATGGCAAGAACAGACATCTTTGTCTTATTCCTAATCTTAGGGGGAAAGCACTCAGTCATCCACCATTAAGTATAATGTTAGCTGTGGGTTTTTTTACTGGTAACAACTTTATCAGGTTGATAAAGTTCCCTTTTATTTCTAGTTTGCTGAGTGTTTCCAATGTGAAAAGGTGTTGAGGGTTTGTCAAATGCTTTTTTTGTGTCTTTGAGATAATCATTGGTTTGTGTTCTTTATTCTATTAACATCTTGCATTACATTGATCAATTATCCTAGGTTAAACCCAATTTGCATTCTTGGGATAAATCCCATTTGGTCATGGTCTACAATCCTTTTTATATGTTGCCAGTATTTTGTTATGTAATTTTGCATATATATTCATAAAGGATGTTGGCCTGCAGATTTTTTTTTTTCTCTTGTGATGCTTTTGGTTATCTTAGTCTAATTTTGGTATCAGGGTAATATTGGTCTCATAGAACAAATTGGCACGTGTTCTCTTTTCTGCTATTTTTGGAAGAGTTTGAAAATATAAGTGTTAATTCTTCTTTAAATATTTGGTAGAATTCACTAGTAAAGCCATCTGGGCCTGGGCTTTGTTTCATAGAAAGTTTTTAACTTACTAATTCAATATCTCTATTTGTTATAAGTCTATTAAGATTTTGTATTTCTTATTAAGTCAGTTTAGGTATTCGTGTCTTTCTGGAAGTTGGCTCATTTCATCTGGGTTATCTAATTTGTTGGCTTACAATATTTCATAATATTCACTTATAATCCTTTTATTTCTGTAAGTTCAATTGTGATACCCCATCTTTTATTTCTGATTTTAGTAATCTGAATCTTCTTACATTTTAGTTAGTCTAGCTAAAAGGTGTCAAATTTTGTTGGTATTTTTAAAGAACTAACTTTTAGTTTCATTGGTTTTCTGTATTGTTTTCTATTCTCTGTTTCATTTATCTCTACTCTAGTCTTTATTATTTCTTTCCCCCTGCTTGCTTTTGGTTTTGTTTGCTTTTTAAAAAAATTTCTTTACTAACATGAAAGACCTAAGGAAAACAAATTCTTAAGGTGTAAGTTTAGGTTACTTATTTGAGATTTCTCTGCTTCTTCTTTTTCTTCTTCTTCAATAGACTTTATTTTTTAGAGTAGTTTTAGGTTCACAGTAAAATTGAGCAAAAAGTACAGCGAGTTCCCATATACTCCCTGTCCCCACATCCCTCATACAATCTTTCCCACTGCTGACATGCTGTACCACACTAGTATATTGTGGTGACATTTGTTACAATTGATAAACTGACATGGACACATCATCACCCAAAGTCCATAGTTTACATTAGGGGTCACTCTTGGTGGTGTACATTCTATGGATTTTGATTGCTGTAAAATAATATGTATGAACGATTACAGTATATAGAATAGTTTCACTGCCCTAAAACTCTACTGTGCTCTATTAATTCCTCCCTTCCCCCAAGCCCTGGAAACCACTAATCTTTTTTACTATCTCCTTGTTTTTGCCTCTTCCAGAATGTCATATAGTTGGAAGCATACAGCATGTAGCCTTTTTAGATTGGCTTCTTTTAGTAACATGCATTTAAAGTTTCTCCATATCTTTGTGTAGCTTGATAGCTTATTTCTTTTTAGCATTGAATAATAGTCCATTGTCTGTTTGTACCACAATTTATGAGTCCATTCACTTTCTGAAGGGCAGCTTGCTTCCAAGTTTTGGCAATGATGAACAAAGCTGCCATAAACATTCATGTGCAGGTTTTTGTGTGGACAGAGGTATTCAACTCATTTTGGTAAATATCAAGGAATGCGATTGCTGGATCCTATGGTAAAAGTATATTTTGTTTTGTAGAAAACTGCTAGACTGTATTCCAAAGGGGCTGTCTCATTTTGCATTCCCACCAACAATGAATGAGAGTTCCTGTTTTTCCACATCCTCGTCAGCATTTGGTGTTGTCAGTGTTTTGGATTTTGGCCATTCTGATAAGTATGTAGTGGTATCTTTTCTTTTTTTCATTAATTAAAAAAATTTTGAGTAATTTTTTTAGAGATAAGGTCTGTCTCTGTTGCCCAGCTTGAAGTGCAATGGCATAATCACAGCTCACTGCAGTGTTGAACTCCTGGGCTCAAGTGAGACTCCTGTCTCAGCCTCCTAAGTAGTTATGACAACAGGCACACATCATCATTCTCAACTAATTTTTTATTTTATGTTTTTGTAGAGACAGAGTCTCTCTATGTTGCCCAGGCTGGTCTCAAACTCCTGGCCTAAGGCAATTGTCCTGCCTTGGCCTTCCAAAGATTTGGGATTACAGGCATGGGCCATCATGTCTGGCTCTATCTTTCCTTTTTTTTTTTTTTTTTTTTTTTTTTTTTTTAAATAGAAGTATTTATAACTATAAACTTCCCTTTAAGCACTGCATTAGCTGCATCCAATACATTTTGGCATGTTGTGATTTTGTTTTCATCCCTCTCAAAGTGTTTTCTAATTTCCTTTGTGATTTCTTCTTTGACCCTTGGTTATTTAGGAGTGTGTTTTTAAATTTCAGTGTATTTATGAACTCCTCAACTTTCCTTCTATTGTTGATTTCTAATTTCATTTTATCATGGTCAGAGAATATACTTTGTATGATTTCAGTCCTTGCAGATTTGTTGAGATTTGTTTTATGGGGCGATCTTATCTTTGGATAGAGCTTTATTTGAAACCTATTTGGCAGGTCCAGTTGGATACCTTGAAAGGATCTTGAAACCAGCAAGCACGAGATCACACTCATGACATTCCACCCCCCAATCACTTTTCTTTTAGTATTCCCCATCTTGATGAAGATGCCACTATCCCATGAGTTGCTTTGGTCAGAAACCTAAAATCATCCTTGATATCTTCCTCTTCCTTTTTTTCCTAAATTCAATCCATTACTGAGCCCAGTTGATTTTACTTTTATAGCTCTCTTACATCTAGCCACTTTGTTCCATATCCATTGCCAATACCATAGTCCAAGCTATGACTATCTGTGACATTTAAAAGTACTATAATTTTCCTTAGTCCAAACTATTACCATCTTTGCAGGGACTACTGCAATTTTCTTACTAATTGGTTTCCCAGCCTCTACTTTTGCACTCTTCCAATCCATTTTTCATGTTGCAGCCAGTTTCTATTTTGAAAATGTACTGATCTTGTCAACCTTCTGCTTAAAATTCCACACCATCAGGAAAAGACCCAAATCCAACATGGTGCACAAGCCTGGCATAGTCTACTTCCTGTTGGTATCTGTAGCCTTATCTCAACCCTTTGCTATCTGCCCTCCAGCCACACTGGCCTGCTTTCAGTTTCTTGACTGCCTCCTCCTGCCTTCTCCACAGAGCCTTTGTACATGCTATTCTCTTTTCCTGGAACTTTTTCCTTCCTGCTTTGCTTAGTTAAATCCTCTGTATTCTTCAGACCTCCCTCAAACCTCACTTCATGAAGGAATTTTTTTTTTTTATGAGCAAAAAATCCTATCTGTGTTTGTTTACTAAAGTCATCCCGGCCAGAGAAGGCCTCAACGAATATTTGATAAATACAAAGACAAATCCCTCAGCCCAGACTCAGCTTCTGCCTTGGATCTCTTCCCCATCCCTGCTTCAGAACAGAACCCAGGCCAGACTCACCGCAGGGTCTCCAGGAGGCAGCGAGGGCGTCTCAGGGTCTTACAAAGACTCTTCACTGCAGAGTGGCTCAGCGAGTTTCCACTTAGGTCCAGCTCCTTCAGGTTTCTGGTGACCTTGAGGACGGAGAAGAGAATCTGCCAATAGGCATCTGTGACTGGGACCCACCTGAACCTGAGGGGGAGAGAGAAGGACAGGAGAGATGTGATGTGTCTGGCAGGGGTTTGAGGTGCCCAGCCCTGCACAACACAGTTGGGCTTTGTCCCCCTGAGCACCAGGCCACAGCGGGTAGTGCCATCTCCAGTACTGACCAGCCCTCCCTGCCTGTCTGCCCGTCACCCAGGGCTAGGTCCCTCTCCTCCATGTGGCTCCTCATTCTACAGCCCTTACCATAGCACACTGAAGTGTTCACCTTGTGTGTCTGTTTCTGCCTCAGTCTGGGAGTTCCTTGAGGGCAGGGACAGACATTTGTCTTTTTTTTTTTTTTTTTAAATCTGCACTGCTCAGCATAGGGCCTGGCCTCGGTGCTGAGCACTGCAGATAAGAAAAAAATTTTTTAAAAAAATTTGACAATTTTAATTTAAAAAAAATTTGACAGCCTTCCTCCCTTTGATGCAGACACACCTGTGTTCCTTTGGCACAGACATTCTGGAGTCCCAGTGCCCAGGAAAGAAGACGGGAGGCAGTAGCAGAGCCTGGGAGAGATGGCCTGAGGATGTTGTGATGGAAGACTGTATATGATCATATGCACTGCTGTCCAGGTTGGCTCACATGGGACCCTATCCCCTTCCCAGGATAACAAGAGGGTCTGCAGGAGAGGGATGGCTGTGGGGAGTGCCCTAGGAGAGAATATTTGCAGCCTGAGGGGAAGAGATGACGGGCTTTGTCTGAGGGTGTTAGAGTAGACTCCGACTCATGGAATTTCCACCCATTTAATCTGTTTTCACACACTACTTTAGTGACCTCATCTACCTCCAAGGCTTCAACTACTCAAATCTCTATTCCAAGTTTCAGACTGAGTTTTCTATTTTCTGGTTGGATATCCCCACCTTGACATCCCAGTAATTCTTTGATCTAATTTGTCCCAACAAGTCCCCAACCTGAATTCATCTTTTCCCCTAAGTCTGCAGAGCCATGTGGGGGCAAGAAGCAGAGGCAAGGAGCTGCCTGCATGTGGGCTCTGCTTCTCTATCCCTCACTCCGTCTCCTCCGCTGCAAAAAGAGGACAGCAATAGCACCTGCTGCAGAGGGGTATGTGAGAATTAAAAGCTACTAAAGAGTATCCCAAAAGTCCTAGAGCAGTTTTAAGTTTTAATAACTGTGAAAGTACAAGTACTACAAACATATAAAAAAAGCCAGCTGAGTGCAGTGGCTCTAGCCTGTAATCCCAGTACTTGAGGAGGTAGAGGCAGGAGGATCGATTGAGCCCAGGAGTTTAAGACCAGCCTGGGCAACATAGTAAGATCCTGTTTCTACAAAAAATAAAAAAAATTAGGCAATGTGGTGGTGTGCACCTGTAGTCCCAGCTACTCAGGAGGCTGAGGCAGGAGAATGGCTTGAACCTGGGAGGCCAAGGTTGCAGTGAGGTATGGTCATGCCACTGCACTATTCCTGGGAGACACAGTGAGATCCCATCACACACACACACACACACACACACACACACACACACACGAAAAAAAGCCATAAATGAAAGCTTACTTGAATTTCTTTTACACTTACTTAGTTTTGTGAAACTTGAAAAATACATTTTAAATTTTTTATTTCCGTTGGCATTTGCCATCCTTAATCAAGGTGACTGAAAAAAAATTAAAAATTTATACTTGAAAATGCACAATGCTTAATCACATGCCAAACACCTGGAAGCTCCCATCCTGTCATCTTCATTTCTTTAATATCTCTGGTTGGTTCTCCTCTTCCTTCACACAGCCCTTGGCCAACCTCCACCCTTTCTTCCTGAACTTTCTTGTTTTTTTTATAGTAGCTTCCTTATTCTTCTCTCTGCCTTGTCTAGCTGATTCAGTTCCTTGAAAATTTCTCCTCCCACTTGTGGCTGAAGCCTCTGACTTTCCCACGGCATTCTCTTAAGGCTCCACTTGCTCCCGCCCATCCCAAACTCTCCTCTCTGGCCTGGTGTTCTTGGTTCCCTTTGCCTATCCCAGCCCCCATCCCCCGGCCAGCCACCATCTGGTCTCTGCCTCTAGCTGCTTGGAACTCTTTGAAGATTTCCCACCTGTCCACTGCTACTTGCAGTACCTGTATCCAGGTCCTTTAAAGCCTACCTCACATTTATAACTATGAACAACTAGAAGCAGCTTAAAATGGCCAAGAACAGGAGAATGGTCAAATCAGCCATGGCACTTTCCCTATGGAATAGCATGTGGTCATTCAAAATGGTGTTGTATCAGACTACTTAAAAATATATAAAGGGCTGGCATGGTGGCTCATGCCTGTGATCCCAGCACTTTGGGAGGCTGAGGCAGAAGGATCATTTGAGGTCAGGAGTTCAAGACCAACCTGGCCAACATGGTGAAACCCCGTTTCTACTAAGACGACAAAAAATTAGCTGGGTGTGGTGGTGCGTGCCTGTAATCCCAGCTACTCTGGAGGCTGAGGCATGAGAATTGCTTGAACCTGGGAGGCAGAGGTTGCAGTGAGCAGAGATCGTGCCACCGCATGCCAGCCTGGTGACAGAGCAAGACTCTGTCTGTCTCTGTCTCTGTCTCTCTCTCTACACACACACACACACACACACACACACACACACACACACACACACATGAAGGGCTGGGCATGGTGGCTCACATCTGTGATCCCAGCACTTTGGGAGGTCAAGGTGAGCAGCTTGCTTGAGCCCAGGAGTTTGAGACCAGCTTGGTCAACACAGTGAAATCTCATCTCTATACAAAAAATATACAAAAATTATCGCTGCATGTTGGCATGCTCCTGTAGTCTCAGCTCCTAGCGGGGCTGAGGTAAGAGGATCCCTTAAACTCGGGTGGTCCAGGCTGCAGTGAGCTGTGATTGCACCACTGCACTCCAGCCTAGGGGACAGAGCGAGACTCCGTCTCAGACAACAACAAACCAAAAAAAAAAAAAAATACCCCACACCCACTCACAAGAAGATAGCCTTGATATATAAAGAAAATAAAACTGACTATAAAATAAAATGTACAATATGGTTCGATTTCGCCATAGACATGTGCACAGAAAAAAGACTGGGGTTCTTACAATTGACCACTAATTTTTTTTTTTTTTGAGACTGAGTTTTGCTCTTTTTCCCAGGCTGGAGTGAAGTGGCACAATCTCAGCTCACTGCAACCTCTGCCCCTGACCTGTCAAGTGATTCTCCTGCCTCAGCCTCCTGAGTAGCTGGGATTACAGGCGCCTGACACCATTTTCGGCTAATTTATGTATTTTTAGTAGAGATGGGGTTTCACCATGTTGACCAGGCTGGTCTCGAACTCCTGACCTCAGGTGATCCACCTGCCTCGGCCTCCCAAAGTGCTGGGATTACAGGTGTGAGCCACCACACCCAGCCAATTTTTAATGATGGTTATTACAGAATGATGGAATTCTTATTGATACTATTTTTCATCTTTTTGCTTATCTACGTTATCTTTTGTTTGTTTGTTTTTTGAGACGGAGTCTGGCTCTGTTGCCCAGGTTGGAGTTCAGTATCACGATCTCAGCTCATTGCAAACTCCGTCTCCCAGATTCAAGTGATTCTCATGCCTCAGTCTCCCTAATAGCTGGGATTACAGGCGTGTGCCACCATGCCCAGATAATTTTTGTATTTTTTGGTAGAGATGGGGTTTTGCCATGTTGGCCAGGCTGGTCTCGAACTCCTGGCCTCAAGTGATCCTCCTGCTTCAGCCTCCCAAAGTACTGGAATTACAGGTGTGAGCTACTTCACCCAGCCTACATATCTTTTTTTTTTTCCTATAATGAACATGAATTTTATTGTGAGAAAAAGTTTTAAAAATATAAATATGAAGGCCCACATCAAACATTTCTTCCTCTGAGAATCTTTATTACCCACTCGTGTGATCACTCCCTTCCTTGGGCCACCACAGTACCTTGTCCATACCTCTACTGTTGTAGACATCACACTCTGTTGTCATTAAATGAATGTTTGTCTTCTCCCCTATTTTTTGAGCTCCTTAAGGCACGTATTGTGCTTTTTAATCTGTGATCTGTAGGGCCTGGCATAGAATCAGTGCTTAATAAATACTTATGGAATGAATCATCTAAAGCAGGACATAGACACATACCAATAGCATGTGATCGATACCACGACAGAGGTCGGGGAACCGGGATGGGGAAGTTCTCAGTACTGCCGGGCTGGAGAATGGTTGGAGGAAGCTATTCTTGCACAGCCAGAGAGTGGGTTTCAGGTTGAGTGCGTGGGGCAATGGTGGCACCACGGTCACAAATAATTATGAAGTCAGTTTTGCAGGGAAAAATAGGAAACTCTTTTTGAGAGCTGATGGGGAAGATCTCAGGGCCAATGTCGTTGTCATGGAAAGGGTTCCTGAAGCAGCTGGAGGAGCAATTTCTCCGAGAGAATGAATGCCCAGAGAGAGGAGCAGGGGTAGGGGGGCTGCCTGATCCTTGGGGAGTGTGGGGGTAGCTAAGGTCAGCAGGAAGGTGGGAGCACGTCCAGGAGAGAAGATGGACGGTCATTCTAAGGGTAGGAGGAGAGGTGGCAGACACGGCAGGGCCCAGTGGCCTCTCCAGAAGCAAGCAGGGCCTGCCCCACAGCCGGGCACTGCAGAGGAGCTTAGGTAGACAGAGCATGGTGGTCAGATTGGGCAGTTAGAAGTCACTGGAGACCCTGATCCTTTAGCCACCCCCACCCCCGGCCAGGCTCAGTGAGCATGCCTCTGGTGCTCAGGTCACTCGGGCTTATGGACTGACAGAGGAGCTGCAGACATGGGTGGTTTGGGTACTCACAGGACTACCATGGTGGGGCTCCATGTTGATCTGTGCTGCCTGCCCTCAATCAGCTGAAGCTTCTTCACGTGGCGGCTGAATTTAATGCAGAAAGTGCACACTAAGAGCTCCATGTCTGTTTCTACACACATGCCCATTTCTTCGAAATGGGCCATCACTTGTGTCAGGAACGTTTTGTTCCGAGTCTCGTACAAGCAGTGGAGGGACTCCAGAGAGTGTGGCTGCAGCAGCAGCTGCAGGGACGGGACCCACTGCATCAGGTTCCTCCCCTGAGACAGCCGGCAGTGAAAGATGTTCTCCATCTCTCTCTCCCCCTCATCACTTAACAGGCCCAATAGGAAACGTGTGGTTGATGCCCCAAACAGGCCATGTATTCCATATGCTTCTAGCGTCTTTTCCAAATCTATGATGCAATTAGAATGTTTACCTCTCCCCTTCTCATCCTCCAAGACATAGGACATTGCTGCAAAGAACTCTTGGAAACAGAGGTGAATGAAGCTGTAGCTCAGAGGGATGGGGTGCTCTTGAAGAATACCCATCTTCAAGAAGGTGGAGATGATGGCCCCATCTAACCCATGCTTCCTGAGGTCATCTGGACTGAAAAGGGTCTTTTTTTGCCAGATGCCCTCAGCAGCCAGAGAGCAGAGGTCTCTGAGCTGGGGTCCCAATGGCTGAGCTTGGAGAGCCTGGGCAAGGTAATGTAGACAGAGGGTTGTGGTGGTCTTGGAAGTCAGTGTGAGTTTTTCCTTCCGCTTCATCTGCTGCATCAGGCAAGTGCAGGCCAGCCAGGACACCCAGGGCACAAGACACAGGGCCCAGAGCTCTTTGTTTGATTTGACCAACCTAAAGGCTCTAATTGCTTGCCTTTCATCTGTGAAATATCTGTAGAAATATTCCTTCCTGCTGGACTCAGAGAACCCCAGGACCTCTACCCAACGTGCCTGCTCCAAAGAAGGAATGAGGTTCTGCAGAGCTGTGGTCCGAGCCGTGATCAGGAAGGATGCCTCGGGAAGTATAGTTTTCCCCAGCAAACTGCCCAGCAGTGCATCCGCCGGCTGTGGCTGGCTCCAGTGCAGACAGAGCTCAGAACTCGGCTCCTGCAAGACCCATCCTGGCTCATCTACACCATCGAGGATGAAGAGCAGCCGCTCTGGCCTAGACAGGATCTGTCTAATGGGAGCCGGAGTGGCTGTCCCATCTTTTCCGATGAGCTCAGCGAGACTCACCACCTTGGACTGGGCCAGCTCTCTGCAGCTGAAGTAGAAGACATGCTGGAAGCGGTCCCCATACAGCTGGCCTCTCCCCCAGGCTTCCTTCACCTGCCTGGCCAGTGTTGACTTCCCAATTCCAGCAGCCCCCTGCAGTATGACTATGCGAGGTTCTTGGGTATCCAGGCCTGGGCCAAATAAGTCTCTGATCTCAATTAAATGTCCTCGATTCTCCTCCACATAATCAGGCCAGCTTCTCTTGACCAGGGGATCTTGGCTTCTGGGGTGAGGTCTTTGTAGAAGTAGCAGCTGTGTGAATTTTTGGTTAAAATCCTCATTTTTCCAGGGCCATGTGGAACAGAGGCTCTCTCTCACAGAAGGCTCCCATGGGTGGTGGTGGGGCTGTAGGCTGGTGTGCGCCTGTGGGGGCGTTCCTACCACCGCTGCCCATGGGGGCCTGCCTTTCTCTGATTTCTCTCTCTCTCTTTCTCTGATTTCTAAGTAAGGGAGGGAAAGAAGGAACATAAAGGTAGAGAATAGAAGAATTAATTAATTAATTAAACAACTGTTTTAGGCACCTACTCCAAGCCACACACTGCGCTGTCTGCAGACACTGGTATGTTCTTGCCATGCGGCGGAAGGACATGTGCTTTGGGGTAGAATATCCCAGTTCAAGTCTTGACTCAACTAAGTCACACTCCCTGAATGACTTTCCTTCACTGAATATTTATCAAGGGCTTACTCTGTGCCAGGTGCTGCTATAGGGGTTGGGGATAAAGAGTGAACAAAACAGACACAACTCTCAGTCCTCACTAAGCTTATGATGCTGGCCATTAGCCCCTATGAGCCTCAGTTTTCTCATCTGTAAGCTGGGGGTTGTAGGTCATGGAGGACTGGAGGAGACACTGGAGTGTGTAGCAGATGCTGACAGCATCCCAAGCACCTGCTATTGCAGTACCTGCCAATGGTGTCCCTCGGCAACAGCTGTGGTCATCTGTCTGAGGGCTCTTTCTCTGCCTGTAAGCCGGGTGGGCCAGAAATACTGGAGGATAGTTCTCCAGTCCAGGAGGTGCCCTTAGTGGATGACAGGTGGGGTCCCTTGCCCCCAGGACAGATAACACTCAGGCATGTTCTCACCGTCTCCCAGACAACCGCAGCAGCATGGAGCCTCAGTTGCTCACAAGGTAACCTGTTCCATAATCTACCTTTCCTGGGTTTCCCCGCCTCACCATTCTCTCTTGTTGATGAGTCCAAGAAATCACCTCCCCAGTAAGCCACCTGCAACCAAATCCGGTCTCAGGCTTCCGGGCGAGCCCGACCTGAGACTGATGGAAGATACCTCATGACCTGTGAGAAGCTGAGGTTATATACACCATTGTTTCCCAGGGAGGGACCTCAGGCTCCTATCTTAGTCAGATTCCAAATAGAACAACAGTTACAACCTCTTCTGTTCTTTTCTTCACAATATGTTCAGTGCCTCTCCCTTCTCTCCTTAGGTGAATTTCATTTTATTTTATTTATTTTTTTGAGGCAGAGTTTCTCTCTTGTCACCCAGGCTGGAGTGCAGTGGCACGATCTCGGCTCACCGCAACCTCCGCCTCCCAGGGTCAAGCGATTCTCCTGCCTCAGCCCCCAGAGTAGCTGGGATTATAAGTACCCGCCATCACGCCAGCTAATTTTTGTATTTTTGTAGAGATGGGGTTTCACCATGTTGGCCATGCTGGTCTCAAACTCCTGACCTCACGTGATCTGCCCGCCTCAGCCTCCCAAAGTGCTGGGATTACAGGCATGGGCCACTGCACCCAGCCTACTATCTTGTCTTTTACTCAAACAAGTTTTCCTACCTTTGCTCTTGATAGATCAAAAAGCATGCCATGTGGTTTTTTTTTTTTTTTTTTTTTTTTTTTTGAGACGGAGTCTCGCTCTGTCGCCCAGGCCGGACTGCGGACTGCAGTGGCGCAATCTCAGCTCACTGCAAGCTCCGCTTCCCGGGTTCACGCCATTCTCCTGCCTCAGCCTCCCGAGTAGCTGGGACTACAGGCGCCCGCCACCGCGCCCGGCTAATTTTTTGTATTTTTAGTAGAGACGGGGTTTCACCTTGTTAGCCAGGATGGTCTCGATCTCCTGACCTCATGATCCACCCGCCTCGGCCTCCCAAAGTGCTGGGATTACAGGCGTGAGCCACCGCGCCCGGCCCCATGTGGTTTTTATACTTGCCATGAAACTGTTCTTTGGGATATTATTTTGTTCAGGTTCCCCACTTGGACAGCAGAGGGGGTGACTCTGCCCATCCCTGCCACTGGTAGCCAGGCGGGCAATGTCTGCTAGCAGTCTGCTTCTGTCTGAACTCAGCCAGCAGAGGCAAACTCCCGGTTCCCCGAGAAACACTCTGAAGGCAGGGTGGGTGACTCCACCCACCACCGCCTCTCCTAGCCATGCAGGCCATGTCTGCTAGAGCTTCCAGCGCAGTGGTCCTAATTCTGTCTGAATCCGGCTGAGGGGTGCAGCCTCCTGTTACTGCCCAGGGAAACACCCAGATGGCAGGGTGGGTGACTCCAACCACCTCTGCCTGTGGTAGCCAGATGGGCCACACCTGCTAGAGCTTCCAGCCCAGCAGTCCCGCTACTCTGTGGGTGGGTGCCATCCCCTGTTCCTCTGGGAAGCACCCAGACAGCTGATTACGTGACCCCACCCACTTCTGCAGATCCTAGCTGAGCAGGACTTGCTGGTTTGGACAATGCCCAAGCAGGGAAGAGCCCTCATTCTCTTATCACTGACAGAGGTGAGATGTCCGAGTTTGTAGGCTGGTGGAGGAGTGAGGTGGAGGAGGTATGCCTCTCTCTGCAGGGCGGACCCAGCAAGGATACGGCCTGTCTGCCAACCACGGCCCCTGCCTGAAGGAACCCCGTTTACCAGAACACCCAACAAAAGAAATGCAGGTGTGGAGCCAGTAATCAGAAGGGTCTTGTCTAAGGCCCAGGAGTGGACTAAGTGAGAAGGTCACCCCCCTGTCCCCAACACACACAGAACACTACTGCCAACTGTACTGAAACATGAAGAACCACGCAGCAGAGTAAGAGTGTATCTCCTGGTGATCACTCTTAAGCACTGCCTACTGGATGGCGGCCCCAAAATACAACACCAAAATGTTTTGCAGTATTCAGTGCCATGAAAACTAAGGCAAAGGCTCCCACCAGTGCCCTGCCCCAGCCAACACACACGCACCCTGCCATGCCACTGTGGCTGGTGCCATGTGTGAGTGAGCACAGATCCTGCTGGCACTGCCACAAGGAAGCACTTTGGCCTGCACCCCCACTGGACTGTTGAGGCCAGCGGACTGGGAACACCTTGGCCCCTCTAATGCAGCAGGTTCTGAACCCCAGGAGGCCAGAGGAAAAGGCTGGGGACCCAGTACCAGCCTTCTAGAGTTAGAGCAGGCAGCTCAGGAGTGCTGAGCTGAGCCTTGGCCACCTGAAATCTTCCAGAATCGAAGCCAGTTGACTGAACCCACCTTATACGACAATCAAACCCCCAAGGGCTTCAAACAAGATAAAAACAAAACAAAAAAAACCCCATCCAAAGGAAGACAACTTCAAAGATTAAAGGAACATCAGCCCACACACACGAGAAAGAACCAGCTCAAGAGCTCTGGTAACTCAAAAAGCCACAGTGTCTTCCTATCTCCAGATGTGTGCACTAGTGCCTCAGCAATGGTATTTTAACAGGCTGAAATGGCTGAAATGACAGACATAGAATTCAGAATATGAGTAGGAATGAAGATCATTGAGATTCAGGAGAAAGTCAAAATCCAGTCCAAGCAATCTAAGGAATATGATAAAATGATACAGGAGCTGAAAGACGAAATGGTCATTTTAGGAAAGAACCAAACTGATCTGATAGAGCTGGAAATCTCACTACAAGAATTTCATAATACAATAGCAAGTATTAACAACAGGATAGACCAAGCTGAGGAAAGAATCTCAGAGCCTGAAGACTGGTTCTCCAAATTAACTCAGTCAGACAAAAATAAAAAAGAATGAAAACAAATGAACAACACCTCTGAGGAATATGGGATTTTGGAAAGAGACCAAATCTATGACTCGCTGGCATCCCTGAAAGAGCATGAGAAAGCCAGCAACTTGGAAAACGTATTTGAAGATATTGTCCACAAAAGTTTCCCCAACCTCCCTAGAGAAGCCAACATTTAAATTCAGGAAATGCAAAGAATCCTTGTGAGATACTATACAAGACAATCATCCCTAAAACACATAGTTCTCAGATTCCCCAAGTCCTCAGATTCTCCAAGGCCAACATGAAAGAAAAAACAATAAAGGCAGCTAGACACAGAAGGGGCAGGTCACCTAAAAAGGGAACCTCATCAGGCTAACAGTGAACTTTTCAGCAGAAGCCCTGCAAGGCAGAAGAGATTGGGGGCCTATATTCAGCATCCTTAAAGAAAAGAAATTCCAGCCAATAATTTCTTTTCTTTTTTAAAATTTTAAAATTATTTTTTAAAAATTTTGTGGATATGTAGTAGGTGTATGTATTTATGGGGATCCATGAGATGGTTTGATACAAGTAAGCACTGTAAAATAAGCACATCATGGAGAATGGGGTATGCAGCTCCTCAAACATTTAACCTTTGAGTTACAAACAATCCAACTATATTCTTTGTTATTAAAAAGTATACAATTAATTTATTATTGACTATAGTCACCCTATTGTGCTATCAAACAGTGGGTCTTATTCATTCTTTCTATTTTTTTGTACCCACTAACTATCCCCACCTTTCCCTCTTGCCCCCCACTACTTTTCTCAGCTTCTGGTAACCATCCTTCTGCTCTCTATGTCCATGAGTTCAATTGATTTGAGTTTTAGATCCCACAAATAAGTGAGAACATGTGATGTTTGTCTTCCTGTGCCTGGCTTATTTCACATAACGTAATCTCCAGTTTCATCCATGTTTGTTGCAAATGACTGGGACTCATTCTCTTTGATGGCTGAATAGTATGTATATGCACCACGTTTTCTATATCTGTTCATCTGCTGATGGACACTTGGGTTGCTTCCAATCTTGGCTATTATAAACAGTGCTGCCACAAACATAGAAGTGCATGTATCTCTTCGATATTCTGATTTCCTTTCTTTTGGATGTATACCCTGCAGTGAGATTGCTCAATTTTTAGTGTTTTTTTTTTTTTTTTTTTTTTAGACAGAGTCTTGCTCTGTTGCCCAGGCTGGAGTGCAGTGGCGCAATCTTGGCTCACTGCAAGCTCCGCCTCCTGGGTTCACACCATTCTGCTGCCTCAGCCTCCCGAGTAGCTGGGACTACAGGTGCCCGCCACTGCACCTGGCTAATTTTTTGTGTTTTTAGTAGAGATGGGGTTTCACTGTGTTAGCCAGGATGGTCTCAATCTCCTGACCTCATGATCTGCCCACCTCGGCCTCCCAAAGTGCTGGGATTACAGGCATGAGCCACTGCGCCCAGCCAATTTTTAGTTTTTTGAGGAAACTCCAAACTGTTCTCCATAGTGGTTGTACTAATTTACGTTCCCACCAACAGTGTATGAGAGTTTCCTTTTCTCCACACCCTCACAAGAATTTGTTCTTGCCTGTCTTTTGGATAAAAGCCATTTTAGCTGGGGTGAGGTGATATTGCAGTTTTCATTTGCATTTCTCTGACTATCAGTGATGTTGAATGCCTTTTCATATGCCTGTTTGCCATTTGTATATCTTCTTCTGAGAAACGTCTATTCTAATCTTTTAACTATTTTTTGATCGAATTTTAGATTTTTTCCTATAGAGTCATTTGAGCTCCTTATATATTCTGGTTATTAATCCCTTGTCTGAAGGGTAGTTTGCAAATACTTTCTCCCATTCTGTGGGTTGTCTCTTCACTTTGTTTATTGTATCCCTCACTGTGCAGAAGCTTTTTAACTTGACATGATCTTGTTTGTCCATGTTTGCTTTGGTTGCCTATGCTTGTGTGTTATTGCTCAAGAAATCTTTGCAGACCAATGTCCTGGAGATTTTCCCCAATGTTTTCTTGTAGTAGCTTCATAGTTTGAGGTCTTAGATTTAAGTTTTTAGTCAATTTTTTGATGTGTTTTTGTCTGGTTTTGGTATTAAGGTAATACTGGCCTCAGAGAATGAGTGTGGTAATAGTCCTTCCTCCTCTATTTTTTCGGAGTAGTTTCAGTAGGACTGATACTAGTTCTTCTTAAATGTTGGGTAGAATTTCAGCAGTGAAGCCATCCAGTCCTTGGCTTTTCTTCACTGTAAGGCTTTTTATTACGGCTTCCATGTTGTTACTTGTTATTGGTCTGTTTAGGTTTTGGATTTCTTCCTAGTTCAGTCTTGGTAGGCTGTATGTATCTAGAGATTTGTCCATTTCTTCTAGATTTTCCAATTTATTGGCATATAATTGCTCATAGCAGCCACTAATGATCCCTTGAATTTCTGCAGTATCAGCTGAAATGTTTCCTTTTTCATTTCTGATTTTATTTATTTAGATCTTCTCTCTTTTTTTCTTAGCTTGGCTAAAGGTTTGTCGATTTTAACTTTTCAAAAAATCAACTTTTTGTTTCATTGATCTTTTGTATTTTTTCTTTTTAATTTCATTTATTTCTGCTCTGATCTTTGTTATTTCTTTTCATCTACTAATAGTGGGTTTGGTTTGTTCCTGCTTTTCTCTCTTTAAGATGCATCATTAGATTGTTTATTTGAAGTTTTTCCTCTTTTTTGATATAGGCACTTATAGCTATAAACTTCTCTCTTAATATATCCCATAGGTTTTGGTATATTGTGTTTCCATGATCATTTGTTTCAAGAAATTTTTCTTTCTTTATTTTGTTCTTAATTTCTTCATTGACCCACTGGTCACTCAGGAGCATATTGTTTAATTTTCATGTATTTATGTAGTTTTCTAAATTCCTCTTATTATTAATTTCTAATTTTATTGCATTGTGGTCAGAGAAGATGCTTGATATTATTTCAATTTTTTGAATGTTTTAAGACTTGTTTTGTGAGCTAATATATGGTGTATCCTTGGGAATGATCCATGTGCTGAGGAAAAGAATGTGTATTCTGCAGCTCTTGGATGGAATGTTCTGTAAATATCTATTAGATCCATTTGGTCTGTAATGCAGATTAAGTTTCATGTTTCTTTGCTGATTTTCTGTCTGGAAGATACGTCCAATGCTAAAAGTGGGGTGTTAAAGTCTCCAGCTATTATTGTATTGAGGCCTATCTCTCTCTTTAGCTCTAATAATATTTCCTTTACATATCTGGGTGTTCCTGTGTTGGGTGCATATATATTTAAAATTGTTATATCCTCTTGCTGAATTGACTCCATTATCATTATATAGTGACCTTCTTTGTCTCTCTTTGTATAGTTTTTGTTTTGAAATCTATTTTGTCTGATACAAGTATAGTGACTTCTGCTCTTTTTTGTTTTCCACTGGCATGTAATATATTTTTCCATCACTTCATTTTCTGTTTATGTGTGTCTTTATAGGTGAAATGTGTTTCTTGTAGGGAACAGATCATTGGTTCTTGTTTTTTCATTCATTCAGCCAGTCTATGTCTTTTGATTGGATAGTTTAATCCATTTACATTACTTATTATTGATAAGTAAGGACTTACTCTTGCCATTTTATTATTTGTTTTCTGCTTGTTTTGTGATCTTCTCTTCTTTCTTTTATTCCTGTCTTCCTCTAGTGAAGATGATTTTCTCTGGTGATATAATTTGGTTTCTTGATTTTTATTTTTTGTGTATCCATTTTATGTTTTTTGGTTTGAGGTTACCATGAGGCTTGCAAATACCATCTTATAATCTATTATTTTAATCTGATAACAACACTATTTGGATAAACAAATAAACAAACAGGCAGAAAGAAAACTAATAAAAACTTAACTTCATTTCCCAGCTTTTTAAACTTTTTGTTGTTTCTATTTATATATTATTTTACTGACTGTGTCTTGAAAAGTTGTTGTAGTTATTATTTTTGATTGGTTCATCATCTAGTCTGTCTACTTAGGGTAAGAGAGGTTATACACCACAGTTACAGTGTAAAAATATTCTGTGTTTTTCGGTGTACTTACTATTATGAGTAAGTTTCTTACCTTCAGGTGATGATTGCTCATTAATGTTCTTCTCTTTCTGATTGAAGTACTCCTTTTAGCATTTCTTGTAGGATGGGTTTGGTATTGATGAAATCCTTCAGCTTTTGTTTGGGAAAATCTTTATTTCTCCTTCATGTTTGAAAGATATTTTCACCAGATATACTATTTAGGGTAAAAGTTTTCTTTCCTTCAGAACTTTAAATATGTCATGCCACTCTCTCCTGGCCTGTAAGGTTTCCATGAAAAGTCTGCGGCCAGATGTATTGGAACTCCATAGTATGTTACTTGTTTCTTTTCTCTTGCTGCTTTTAAAATCCTTTCTTTATCCTTGACCTTTGGGAGTTTGATTATTAAATGCCTTGAGGTAGTCTACTTTGGGTTAAATCTACTCGGTGTTCTAAAACCTTCTTGTACTTGGATATCTTTCCCTAGGTTTGGGAAATTTTCTCTTATCCCTTTGAATAAAACTTCTACTCCTATTTCTTTCACTACCTCCTCCTTAAGGCCAATAACTCTTAGATTTGCCATTTTGAGGCTATTTTCTAGATCCTGCAGGTGTGTTTCATTGTTTTTTTTATTCTTTTTTCTTTTGTCCCTTCTGTGTATTTTCAATTATAGCCTGTCTTCAAGCTCACTAATTCTTTCTTCTGCTGGATCCATTCTGCTATGAAAGGACTCTGATGCATTCTTCAGTATGCAAATTGAATTTTTTCAGCTCCAGAATTTCTGTTTGATTATTTTTAATTATTTCAATCTCTTTATTACATTTATCTGCTAGAATTCTGAATTCCTTCTCTGTGTTATCTTGAGTTTCTTTGAATTTCCTCAACACAGCTATTTTGAATTCTGTCTGAAAGGTCACATATCTCTCTTTCTCCAGAATTGGTCCCTGATGCCTTATGGTGAGGTCATGTTTTCCTGGATGGTGTTAATGCTAGTAGATGTTCTTCAGTGTCTGGGCATTGAAGAGTTGAGCATTTATTGTAGTCTTCACTGTCCAGGCTTATTTATAGGCAGCCTTTTTGGAAAGGCTTTCCAGATTTGAAAGGACTTGAGTTTTGTGATCTAAGGCATTTCTGCTTTAGAGGGCACCCTAAGCCCAGTAATGCTGTGGTTCTTGCACAGTCATAGAGGTACCACCTTAATAGTCTTAGACAAAATCTGGTTGAATTATCTAGGTTACCAGGCAGAGACTCTTGTTCTCTTTCCTTACTTTCTGCCAAACATACAGTCTCTGTCTCTTCTAAGCCACCTAAAGCCACCTTTAACCTCATTAGAAAGTGACACAAGCACCCCCGTGGCCACCTACCACTATGACTGTGCTCCAACCAAGAATTTCATATACAGCCAAACTAAGCCTTATAAGCGAAGGAGAAATAAGATCCTTTTCAGACAAGCAAATGCTAAGGGAATTTATTACCACCAGACCTGCCTTACAAGAGGTTCTTAAGGGAGTGCTAAATATGGAAACAAAAGACCATCACTGGCCACCATAAAACACACTAAAGTACACAGTCCACTGATACTATCAAGCAACTACAAAATCAAGTCTGCAAAATAATCAGCTAACAACATGATGACAGGATTAAACTCACACATATCGATATTAATCCAAATGTAAATGGGCTAAATGCTCCCATTAAAAGGCACAGAGTGGCAAGTTCAATAAAGAAGCATGGCCCAACTGGATACTGTCTTCAAGAGATCCATCTCACATGCAATGACATTCATAGGCTCAAAGTAAAGGGATGGGGAAAAATCTACCAAGCAAATGGAAAACAAACAAAAGCACGGATTGCCATTCTAATTTCACACAAAACAGACTTCAAATCAACATCAATCAAAAAAGACAAAGAAAGGCATCACATAATAATAAAGGGTTCAATTCAACAAGAAGACTTAACTGTCAGGAATATATATGCATCCAATACAGGAGCACCCAGATTCATAAGACGAGTTCTTAGAGACTGATGAAGAGACTTAGATAACCATATAGTAATAATGGGAGACTTCACCCACTGACAGTATTGAACAGATCATCAAGGCAGAATACTAACAAAGATATTTGGGACCTAAATTCGACACTTGACCAAATGGGCCTAAGAGACATCTACAGAACTCTCCACCCCAAACAACAGAATATATATTCTTCTCATTTGCACATGGCATATACTGTAAAATCAACCACACAATCTGCCATAAAAAGTTCTCAGCAAATTTTAAAAAACCCAAATCATACCAGCCACACTCTTGGACCACTGCACAATTAAAAAAAATCAATACTAAGAAGATAGCTCAGAACCATACAATTCATGGAAATTAAACAACCTGCTCCTGAGTGGCTTTTGGGTAAACAATGAAATTAAGGCAGAAATAAAGAAATTCTTTGAAACCAATTAGAACAAAGATACAATATGCCAATTCTCTGGGACACAGATAAAGCAGTGGAAAGTTTATAGCAGTAAATGCCCATATCAAAAAGTTAGAAAAATCTCAAATTAGCAACCTAACATCACAAATAGAAGAATTAGAAAAACAAGAGCAAGATCAATCCCAAAGCTAGCAGAAGACAAGAAATAACCAAAATCAGAGCTGAACTGAATAAAATTGAGATGGAAAAAACCATACAAAAGATCAACAAAACCAAAAGTTCATTCTTTGGAAGAATAAATAAGATCGATAGACCACTAGCTAGACTAATAAAGAAAAAAAAAAGACAGAAGATCCAAATAAACACAACCAGAAATGACAAAGAGGACATTACCATTGACCCCGTGGAAATATAAAAAACCCTCAGAGACTATTACGAACACCTCTATATACAGAAACTAGAAAAACCTACAAGAAATAAATTCCTAGGACTGAACCAGGAAGAAATTAAAACTCTGAACAGAGCAATAACGAGTTCTAAAATTGAATCAGTAATAAAAATTCTAACAACCAGAAAAAGGCCAGGACCAGAGAGATTCACAGCTGAATTCTACCAGACACATAAAGAAGAGCTCGTACAATTTCTACTGAAACTATTCCAAAAAATTGAGGAGGAGGGGACTCCTCTCTAACTCATTCTATGAGTTAGGTATCATTCTATGAGTTTGGTATCATTCTGATACCGAAACCTGGCAGAGACACAACAAAAGAAGAAAACTTAAGGACAATATCTGTGATGAACATAGCTGCAAAAATCTTCAGCAAAATACTAGCAAACTGAATCCAGCAGCACGTCAAAAAGCGAATTCACCACAACCAGATAGGTTTTATCTCTGGGATGCATGTTTGATTCAACATATGCAAATCAATAAATGTGATCTATCACATAAATAGAAGTAAAAAAGCCCCCACATGATCATCTCAATAGATGCAGAAAAAGCATTTGATAAAATTCAACATCCTTCAATGTTAAAACTCTCAACAAACTAGACATTGAAGGAGCATACCTCAAAATAATAAGGGCCATTTATGACAAAACCACAGCCAACATCACACTGAATGGGCAAAAGCTGGAAGTATTCTCCTTGAGAACCAGAACAAGACAAGGATGCTCATTCTCACCATCTATTCAACATAGTACTAGAAGTCCTACCCAGAGCAATCAGGTAAGAGAAAGAAGTAAAAGACATCCAAATAGGAGGAGAGGAAGTCAAAGTATCTCTGTTTGCAGATGTTATGATTTTATACCTAGAAAACCTCCTAGTCTCTGTCCCAAATCTGCTAGATCTAATAAACAACTTCAGCAAAGTTTCAGGATACAAAATCAATTTCTTCTATTGGGTAGTAAGTATTATGTAACATTGTGCAATAAGCACCAAATCAAGAATGCAATCCCATTCACAATAGCCACAAAAAAGTACCTAGGAATACATCTAACCAGGATTGTGAAAGATCTCTATAGCAAGAACTACAAAACACTGCTGAAAGAAATCAGAGATGATACACACACAAATGGAAAACATTCCATGCTCATGAATAGGAATAATCAATATTGTTAAAATCGCCATACTACTCCAAGCAATTTACAGATTCAATGCTATTCCTAGCAAGCAACCAATGACATTCTTCACATAATGAGAAAGAAATTCTAAAATTAATATGGAACCAAAAAACAGCCCAAATAGCCAAAGCAATTCTAAGTAAAAAATAACAAATCTGGAGGCATCACATTACCTATTTTTAAACTATACTACAAGGCAACAGTAACCAAAACGGCATGCTACTGGTACAAAAACAGACACATAGACCAATGGAACAGAATAAAATGCCCAGAAATAAAGCTGTATATCTACAACCATCTGATCTTTGATAATGTTGACAAAAACAAGCAATGGGGAAAGCATTCCCTATTCAATACGTGATGCTGAGATAACTGGCTAGCCATATGCAGAAGACTGAAACTGGACCCCTTCCTGATACTATATACAAAGATCAATGGAAGATGGATGAAAGTCTTAAACGTAAAACCTAGAACTTTAAAAACCCTTGAAGAAAACTTAGGAAATACTATTCTGAACATAGGTCCTGGCAAAAATTTCATGAGGAAGATGCCAAAAACAATTGCAATGAAAACAAAAATTGACAAATGGGACCTAATTAAACTAGAGAACTTCTGCACAGCAAAAGAAACTACCCACAAAGTAAATAGACAACCCACAGAATGGGAGAAAATATTTGCAAACTACCCATCTGACAAAGTTGGAATATCCAGAATCTATAAGGAACTTAAACACATTAATAAGCCAAAAACAATCCCATTAAAAAGTGGACAAATGGCCAGGCATGGTGGCTCATGCCTGTAATCCTACCACTTTGGGGACTGAGGTGGACAGATCACTTGAGGTGAGGAATTCGAGACCAGCCTGGCCAACAGACCATCTCTACTAAAAAATACAAAAATTAGCTGGGCGTAGTGGTGCACACCTGTAATCCCAGCTACTTGGGAGGGTGAGGCAGGAGAATCCCTTGAGCCCGTGAGGTGGAGGTTGCAATGAGCAGAGATCTCACCACTGCATTCCAGCTTGGATGACAGTGTGATACTTTGTCTCAGAAAAAAAAAAAAAAAAAAGTGGACAAAGGACACCAATAGACTCTTCAAAAGAAGACATACACATGGCCAACAGCATATGAAAAAATGCTCAACATCACTTATTATTAGCAAAATGCAAATTGGGGTGGTTCCAAGATGGCCGAATAGGAACAGCTCCGGTCTACAACTCCCAGGGTGAGCAGCGCAGAAGACAGGTGATTTCTGTATTTCCAACTGAGGTACCAGGTTCATCTCACTGGGGCTTGTCAGACAGTGGGTGCAGGACAGTGGGTGCAGCCCACCGAGCATAAGCCAAAGCAGGGCGAGGCATTGCCTCACCTGGGAAGTGCAAGGGGTCAGGGAATTCCCTTTCCTAGCCAAGGGAAGCTGTGACAGATGGCACCTGGAAAATTGGGTCACTCCCACCCTAATACTGCACTTTTCCAACGGTCTTTGCAAACGGCACACCAGGAGATTATATCCCGTGCCTGGCTCAGAGGGTCCTGTACCCACGGAGCCTCACTTATTGCTAGCCAGCAGTCTGAGATTGAACAGCAAGGCGGCAGTGAGGCGGGGGGAGGGGTGCCCACCATTGCTGAGGCTTGAGTAGGTAAACAAAGCAGCTGGGAAGCTTGAACTGGGTGGAGCCCACCGCAGCTCAAGGAGGCCTGCCTGCCTCTGTAGACTCCACCTCTGGGGGCAGGGCATAGCCAAACAAAAGGCAGCAGAAACCTCTGCAGACTTAAATGTCCCTGTTTGACAGCTTTGAAGAGAGCAGCGGTTCTCCCAGCATGGAGTTTGAGATCTGAGAACAGACAGACTGCCTCCTCAGGTGGGTCCCTGACCCCCGAGTAGCCTAACTGGGAAGCACCCCCAAGTAGGGGCAGACTGACACCTCACACAGCCGTCTACCTCTCTGAGACGAAGCTTCCAGAGGAAGGATCAGGCAGCAACATTTGCTGTTTAGCAATATTCGCTGTTCTTCAGCCTCTGCTGCTGATACCCAGGCAAACAAGGTCTGGAGTGGACCTCCAGCAAACTCCAACAGACCTGCAGCTGAGGGTCCTGACTGTTAGAAGGAAAACTAACAAACATAAAGGACATCCACACCAAAACCCCATCTTTATGTCAAAGACCAAAGGTAGATAAAACCACAAAGATGGGGAAAAAACTGACCAGAAAAGCTGAAAATTCTAAAAATCAGAGCGCCTCTCCCCCTCCAAAGGAACATAGCTCCTCGCCAGCAATGGAACAAAGCTGGACGGAGAATGACTTTGATGAGTTGAGAGAAGAAGGCTTCAGAAGATCAAACTTCTCCGAGCTAAAGGAGGAAGTTCGAATCCATCACAAAGAAGCTAAAAACCTTGAAAAAAGATTAGACAAATGGCTAACTAAAATAACCAGTGTAGAGAAGTCCTTAAATGACCTGATGGAGCTGAAAACCATGGCACGAGAACTACGTGAAGAATGCACAAGCTTCAGTAGCCAATTCGATCAACTGGAAGAAAGGGTATCAGTGATTGAAGACCAAATGAATGAAATGAAGGAAGAAGAGAAGTTTAGAGAAAAAAGAGTAAAAAGAAACGAACAAAGCCTCCAAGAAATATGGGACTATGTGAAAAGACCAAATCTACATCTGATTGGTGTACCTGAAAGTGACGGGGAGAATGGAACCAAGTTGGAAATCATTCTGCAGGATATTATCCAGGAGAACTTCCCCAACCTAGCAAGGCAGGCCAACATTCAAATTCAGGAGCTACAGAGAACACCACAAAGATACTCCTTAAGAAGAGCAACTCCAAGACACATAATTGTCAGATTCACCAAAGCTGAAATGAAGGAAAAAATGTTAAGGGCAGCCAGAGAGAAAGGTCGGGTTACCCACAAAGGGAAGCCCATCAGACTAACAGTGGATCTCTCGGCAGAAACTCTACAAGCCAGAAGAGAGTGGGGGCCAATATTCAACATTCTTTTTTTTTTTTTTTTTTTGAGATGGAGTCTCGCTCTGTCACCCAGGCTGGAGTGCAGTGGCATAACCTCGGCTCACTGCAAGCTCCGCCTCCCAGGTTCATGCCATTCTCCTGCCTTAGCCTCCTGAGCAGCTGGGACTATAGGTGCCCGCCATCACGCCCGGCTAATTTTTTTTGTATTTTTTAGTAGAGATGGGGTTTCACCATGTTAGCCAGGACGGTCTCGATCTCCTGACCTCATGGTCTGCCCATCTCGGCCTCCCAAAATGCTGGGATTACAGGTGTGAGCCACCACGCCTGGCAATATTCAACTTTCTTAAAGAAAAGAATTTTCAACCCAGAATTTCATATCCAGCCAAACTAAGCTTCATAAGTGAAGGAGAAATAAAATCCTTTACAGACAAGCAAATGCTGAGAGATTTTGTCACCACCAGGCCTGCCCTAAAAGAGTTCCTGAAGGAAGCACTAAACATGGAAAGGAACAACCGGTATCAGCCACTGCAAAAACATGCCAAACTGTAAAGACCACCAATGCTAGGAAGAAACTGCATCAACTCATGAGCAAAATAACCAGCTAACATCATAATGACAGGATCAAATTCACACATAACAATATTAACCTTAAATGTAAATGGGCTAAATGCTCCGATTAAAAGACACAGACAGGGAAATGGGATAAAGAGTCAAGACCCATCAGTGTGCTGTATTCAGGAAACCCATCTCACGTGCAAAGACACACATAGGCTCAAAATAAAGGGATGGAGGAAGATCTACCAAGCAAATGGAAAACAAAAAAAGGCAGGGGTTGCAATCCTAGTCTCTGATAAAACAGACTTTAAACCAACAAAGACTAAAAGAGACAAAGAAGGCCATTACATAATGGTAAAGGGATCAATTCAACAAGAAGAGCTAACTATCCTAAATATATATGCACCCAATACAGGATCACCCAGATTCATAAAGCAAGACCTTAGAGACCTACAAAGAGACTTAAGACTCCCACACAATAATAATGGGAGACTTTAACACCCCCCTGTCAACATTAGACAGATCAACGAGACAGAAAGTTAAAAAGGATATCCAGGAATTGAACTCAGCTCTGCACCAAGGGACCTAATAGACATCTACAGAACTCTCCACCCCAAATCAACAGAATATATATTCTTCTCAGCACACATTGCGCTTATTCCAAAATTGACCACATAGTTGGAAGTAAAGCACTCCTCAGCAAATGTAAAAGGACAGAAATTATAACAAACTGTCTCTCAGACCATTCAGTGCAATCAAACTAGAACTCAGGATTAAGAAACTCACTCAAAACCGCTCAACTACATGGAAACTGAACAACCTGCTCCTGAATGACTACTGGGTACATAACGAAATGAAGGCAGAAATAAAGATGTTCTTTGAAACCAATGAGAACAAAGACACAACATACCAGAATCTCTGGGACACATTTAAAGCTGTGTGTAGAGGGAAATTTATAGCACTAAATGCCCACAAGAGAAAGCAGGAAAGATCTAAAATTGACACCCTAACATCACAATAGAAAGAACTAGAAAAGCAAGAGCAAACACATTCAAAAGCTAGCAGAAGGCAAGAAATAACTAAGATCAGAGCAGAACTGAAGGAGACAGAGACACAAAAAACCTTTCAAAAAATCAATGAATCCAGGAGCTGGTTTTTTGAAAAGATCAACAAAATTGATAGACCGCTAGCAAGACGAATAAAGAAGAAAAGAGAGAAGAATCAAATAGATGCAATAAGAAATGATAAAGGGGATATCACCACCGATCCTACAGAAATACAAACTACCATCAGAGAATACTATAAACACCTCTACACAAATAAACTAGAAAATCTAGAAGAAATGGACACATTCCTGGACACATACACCCTTCCAAGACTAAACCAGGAAGAAGTTGAATCCCTGAATAGACCAATAACAGGCTCTGAAATTGAGGCAATAATTAATAGCCTACCAATCCAGACGGATTCACAGCCAAATTCTACCAGACGTACAAGGAGGAGCTGGTACCATTCCTTCTGAAACTATTCCAATCAATAGAAAAAGAAGGAATCCTCCCTAACTCATTTTACGAGGCAAGCATCATCCTGATACCAAAGCCTGGCAGAGACACAACAAAAAAAAAGGAATTTTAGACCAATATCCCTGATGAACATTGATGCAAAAATCCTCAATAAAATACTGGCAAACCGAATCCAGCAGCACATCAAAAAGCTTATCCAGCATGATCAAGTGGGCTTCATCCCTGGGATGCTAAGGCTGGTTCAACATACGCAAATCAATAAATGCAATCCAGCATATAAACACAACCAAAGACAAAAACCACATGATTATCTCAATAGATGCAGAAAAGGCCTTTGAAAAAATTCAACAGCCCTACATGCTAAAAACCCTCAATAAATTAGGTATTGATGGGATGTATCTCAAAATAATAAGAGCTATTTATGGCAAACCGACAGCCAATATCATACTGAATGGGCAAAAACTGCAAGCATTCCCTTTGAAAACTGGCACAAGACAGGGATGCCCTCTCTCATCACTCCTATTCAACATAGTGTTGGAAGTTCTGGCCAGGGCAATCAGGCAGGAGAAAGAAATAAAGCGTATTCAATTAGGAAAAGAGGAAGTCAAATTGTCCCTGTTTGCAGATGACATGACTGAATATTTAGAAAACCCCATCGTCTCAGCCCAAAATCTCCTTAAGCTGATAAGCAACTTCAGCGAAGTCTCAGGATACAAAATCAATGTGCAAAAGTCACAAGCATTCTTACACACCAATAACAGACAGAGAACCAAATCTTGAGTGAACTTGCATTCACAATTGCTTCAAAGAGAATAAAATACCTAGCAATCCAACTTACAAAGGATGTGAAGGACCTCTTCAAGGAGAACTACAAACCACTGCTCAATGAAATAAAAGAGGACACAAACAAATGGAAGAACATTCCATGCTCATGGATAGGAAGAATCAATATCATGAAAATGGCCATACTGCCCAAGGTAATTTATAGATTTAATGCCATCCCCATCAAGCTACCAATGACTTTCTTCACAGAATTGGAAAAAACGACTTAAAAGTTCATATGGAACCAAAAAAGAGCCCGCACTGCCAAGACAATCCTAAGCCAAAAGAACAAAGCTGGAGGCATCATGCTATCTGACTTCAAACTATACTACAAGGCTACAGTAACCAAAACAGCATGGTACTGGTACCAAAACAGAGATATAGACCAATGGAACAGAACAGAGCCCTCAGAAATAATACCACACATCTACAACCATCTGATCTTTGACAAACCTGACAAAAACAAGAAATGGGGAAAGGATTCCCTATTTAATAAATGGTGCTGGGAAAACTGGTTAGCCATATGTAGAAAGCTGAAACTGGATCCCTTCCTTACACCTTATACAAAAATTAATTCAAGATGGATTAAAGACTTAAATGTCAGACCTAAAACCATAAAAACCCTAGAAGAAAACCTAGGCAATACCATTCAGGACATAGGCATGGGCAAGGACTTCATGTCTAAAACATTCAAAGCAATGGCAACAAAAGCCAAAATTGACATATGAGATCTAATTAAACTAAAGAGCTTCTGCACAGCAAAAGAAACTACCATCAGAGTGAACAGGCAACCTACAGAATGGGACAAAATTTTTGCAATCTACTCATCTAACAAAGGGCTAATATCCAGAATCTACAAAGAACTCAAACAAATTTACAAGAAAAAAACAAACAACTCCATCAAAAAGTGGGTGAAGGATATGAACAGACACTTCTCAAAAGAAGACATTTATGTAGCCAACAGACATATGAAAAAATGCTCATCATCACTGGCCATTAGAGAAATGCAAATCAAAACCACAATGGGATACCATCTCATACAAGTTAGAATGGTGAATATTAAAAAGTCAGGAAACAACAGGTGCTGGAGAGGATGTGGAGAAATAGGAACACTTTTACACTGTTGGTGGGACTGTAAACTGGTTCAACCATTGTGGAAGACAGTGTGGCAATTCCTCAAGGATCTAGAACTAGAAATACCATTTGACCCAGCCATCCCATTACTGGGTATATACCCAAAGGATTATAAATCATGCTGCTATAAAGACACATGCACACGTATGTTTATTGTGGCACTATTTACAATAGCAAAGACTTGGAACCAACCCAAATGTCCATCAATGATAGACTGGATTAAGAAAAAGTGGCACATATACACCATGGAATACTATGCAGCCATAAAAAAGGATGAGTTCATGTCCTTTGTAGGGAAATGGATGAAGCTGGAAACCATCATTCTCAGCAAACTATCGCAGGGACAAACAACCAAACACCGCATGTTCTCACTCATAGGTGGGAAATGAACAATGAGAACACCTGGACACAGGAAGGGCAACATCACACACCAGGGCCTGTCGTGGGGTTGGAGGAGGGGGGAGGGATAGCATTAGGAGATATACCTAATGTAAATGATGAGTTAATGGGTGCAGCACACCAGCATGGCACATGCATACACATGTAACAAACCTGCATGTTGTGCACATGTACCCTAGAACTTAAAGTATTAAAAAAAAAAAAAATAAGATCACCCTCCCTGATGTGGGTGGCTCTCATTCCATCAGTTGAAGGCCAGAATAGAATAAAAAAAGAGACCTTCTCTGGAAAAAAAGAAAAATGCAAATCAAACCCATAATGAGGTACTATTCTACACCAGTCAGAATGGCTATAATTTAAAAGTCAAAAAATAACAGATATTGGTGAGATTGCAGAGAAACAGGAACACTTATACACTGCTGGTAAGAATGTAAATTAGTTCAGCCACTGTGGAAAGGAATTTCGCGATTTGCCAAAGAACTCTGAACTATCATTCAATCTAGCAATCCCATTATTGGGTATATACCCAAAGGAATGTAGAGCATTCTACCATAAAGATGCATGTACATGTATGTTTATTGCAGCACTAGTCACAATAGCACCAGTATGGAATCAACCATACTGCTAAAGAAAATGTGGGACATTTACACATGGAATACTACACAGCCATAAAAATGAATGAGGTCATGCCTTTGCAGCAACTTGAATGGAGTTGGAGAGCATTATAAGTGAACTAACACAGGAACAGACAATGAAATACCGCATGTTCTCATTCATAAGTTAGAGGTAAACATTGCGTACACATGGACACATAAAAGGAACAATAGACACTGGGACCTTTTGAGAGTGAAGAGTGGGAGAAGGGTAAGGATTAAAAAACTACCGGGCCGGGCGCGGTGGCTCACACCTGTAATCCTAGCACTTTGGGTGGCTGAGGTGGGTGGATCACCTCGGATCAGGAGTTCGAGACCAGCCTGACTAACATGGTGAAACCCCATCTCTACTAAAAATACAAAAAATTAGCAGGGCTTCGTGGCGGGCACCTGTAGTCCCAGCGACTCGGGAGGCTGAGGCAGGAGAATGGCGTGAACCCGGGAGGCAGAGCTTGCAGTGAGTGGAGATCACGCCACTGCACTCCAGCCTGGGTGACCGAGCAAGACTCTGTCTCAAAACAAAACACAACAAAAAACAAAAAACAACAAACAAAAAACAAAAACAAAAACAAACAAAAAACCCAACCTAACAGGTACCATGCTTATTACCTGGGCGACAAGATAATCTGTACACCAAACACTTGTGACACATAACTTACCTATATAACAAACCTGCACATGTGTTTCTGAAACTAAAATAAAAGTTTGTTGTTGTTTTTTTTTTAAGTTCCCTATTTGAAGAATTCCCTTAGAATTTAGAATCAGGGAAAAATGTTATTTCCCTTGCATTGGTCTTTTCTATTGAGTAACAGGTATTGTGTAACCCATTATATTTCCCCTTTTGCCAGTGTTGCTAGAATGCCCACAATTGATGGAAACTTTATTTATAGCAATGAGGTAGTCTTTGTGGTTTTCATACTTGTTTTTTTCACTTTTAAAGTTACTGCATTTTTATGCTTCTATAGATGGCTCTGATATGTCTTTATATTCTTCCTATCTTCCTTCTTTTCTGTTTTTCAGTTTTAATTGTCTTTATTGTTTGGATTTTTTAATTCACAAAATAATTCTGAGAAAAAGTTATCTTTGTGATTCTCAAATATAGAAAGAAACAACTTAAAGTATTAGAATCTTCCTTTCTTGACTTTCTGTTTTCCTTAGTTTAACTCGAATGTTGATCTTTCCTTATATACCCTATCAAGATTTTTAAAACATGAGTTTATTTATTTTTTATTTTAGACTCACGCGGTATATGTGCAGGTTTGTTACATGGCTTCTTTTTTTGAATGGCAAGTGGTGTGAGTAATTAAGTAAACTGATATACTTTGAGCCTAGGCCATATACGACCACAAAATCTACAAGTTCACTCCTTGCTGGGTGCAGAAGAAATCCTTTTAACTTAAAACCTCTCAGATTTCAAAGGAGGCATCCTCCGGCATTGAGAGGCAGCATGGTTCAGTGGTTAAGGAACCTGTGGCATCAGGAGCCTCTGTACCTGTGGCTTTAGTATGACTGTCCTTATTGCCCAGATGAGGGCACTCCCTGTGTAAGAGTTAAAAGTGTGGATTGCTGCGTGAGAGAGAGTGAAGGCTGAATTCCATCTTTGCTAGTACTAACTGTGAGACTATCTTTTTAATCCTTGGTTTTCTCATCTCCAGGGTATGATAATAGCAATATTTATCTCACGGAGTGGTTGTAAAATTTAAGTCCAATGTACACGTAAAGCCCTGGACATGGTCTAACCCAGAGAGTGTCCAGTGAGCACTGATGGGCATGGGACTAGCTGTAGGCCACTTGTGGGGTGAGGAGCTCAGTGGAAATTGAACCCAGCTCTCCTGACCCCAGGCCAGTGCCCTGTCCAGTAAACCAGGTGATGTGTAACCCCATCCAGGCTCCCCTCTCCTTGCTCTGTTGTCCCCCAGATGTGCTGGGTAACACATCTGTATTTTAATGTCCAGGTGCCTCCTGGAAACAGTGCCTTGGACCAGTGGAGAGGCTCCAAGGGTGGGATTTCCTGAGGGAAATTTCAGATGTTTTCCAGAACCTCTGCTTAGCCTGCCAACCTGGTCCCCAGGGGACTCTTTGTCCATACATTTGCCTCTCCCACCTCACCACCCCGCCAGGAGCTCAGTAGGGTCTCACCTGTGTAGTAAATTCCTGACGTTTCATCCAGAGGCCATTGGGTCCCAGGAGCCTCCTGCTCTCTGGGTGCTAGGCTGGGCTGAGGTGGGGATCCCCAGCTCCCCAGCACTGCTGTGGATGTGGGGGCGTTGGGTGACTCCTGGCTTGGAGACTCATGGTCTGGGGAGCTTGGAAGAGCTTGGTAGAGGAGTGAGGCAGAGATTTCTGGGGGGAATGAAAAGAAAAATAACCATTTACTGAACATTTATTTTCTTTTAGGTGCATATATTTTAAACTCTCACAACAGTCCTGAGAGATGGGTCTTAATAATATTATTTTGAAAACCATGTTGAAGTAGAGGGGCAATTTTATTCTCTTAGTAGTGAAGAGAGAAGTCATGTGAGGGAGCTGGCTTGGGCCGAGGACTAAGCCTAGCCTCTTCTTGGGGTCTGTCTGGAAAACAGAGTCCTCCTTGGAACTTCTGGACCACCCTGACCCTAAGGATCTTCAGAGCCCATCAATATTATGAGCTGAGTTCTCGGGCAAGGACCATGTCACGAGTTGGGCACCCAGTTGGGGAAGACTCATTGCCTGACCCACATGGGTCTCAGCTTCCCCATCTGCCACATGGGGAGGGATGCAATCTCAGCACCGGAAGGTCCCTGAAAGATCAATTTCAGGCCTACCTCTCACAGCCCATCCTGGCTCCCCTATCCTTCCTCTGCTGTCCCCCATGTCAGGTCCCCATGCACAGACATGATCCTCTGGGTGGGGCCCACCAGCTGATTCACAGCTCCACCCAGGGCTGTCAGCCTGCCTCAGCAAGCCTCACCTCTCCAGCGGCGTCCAGATGTGTCAGGCAGCTGTCTCAAAACCCTTCTCTCTGAGCCCTGGGTGCACCCCGCCGGCAATTCATGGATCCAGGGCATTAGCACTGCGGTGGAGGTGGGTTGGCTGGGAGACCCCAGGTGGGGTTCACTTGGGCTGTAGGGGAATGAGGGAGAGTGGCCTACAGGAAAGAGACAAAGAGGTTGGAGACACATCAGAGGGGCAGGGGCAAGGTGCCAGGGAACTGAGCTGGTCTCCTCTCTCAACCAAGAGAGGTCAGGATACACCAGTGAACCCGCTGCAGCCCTCTACAACTTCCTCTAGAGGCTTGTCTGAAGAATGATGTTCTTATAGATACTGCTAGGCAAAAAATCCTCATCTAGGATCAGGAAATTTGCATATCTGTCTTGGTCCTGACTATCTCCCTGTGTAAATCACTACTCCTACTGAGCCTCAGCTGTGCTTTATTGGGCCAACGGCATCTGCAACCCAGGGTGGCTAATAGTAATAATAACAGCAGCAGCAGCAGCAGCAACAACAGCAATGGGAGATCTTATTTATTGAGCACTTACTGTATATCAGACTCTGTGCTAAATGTTTAACCTGGATGATCTCTTTTAACCCTCACACAGCCCAGGGAGGCGGGCTCTCACTCTCCCATTTTGCAGACAGAGAAATAGGCAGAGAGCAGTGAAGTGATTGGCCCAGGGTGATAGTGCCAGGACTGGTGATAGTGCCTGACTCCCAAGTCCGTGCTCATAACTACAATGCCAGGCGAGTACCGGGAATGCACTTGAATAGAAGAGGGTGTGGGGCTCTGAGGTGCAGCAAGGGCCCCCCCAGCAAGCCTCCTGGCTCCAGCATAGTCTGGGGCCTGGATCCCCCTTTGAGAGGGCAGTTCCATGTCACTGCTCAGAGGAAGGCCTGGCAGGGAGGGCTCAGTGGTGGGGTCCCAAGAGGGCAGGGCAGGCATGAGGGCCAGGGGATGTCCCGCGGGCAGTGGGGTCCTCTGTCCACTCACCTGCCCCTTCCTGGGCTTGGGCGCACAGTGACCTCAGCCCCATCTGCTCCCAGGTATGGAGGGCTAGGTCCCAGGCCCGCTGCTCCCCATACTGAGCCACCAGGTACGAGGCCACCTCCATGCCACTCGTCTTCTCTGGCTGAGCGGGTGTCTCACCCGAAGAGCTCCTGGAGTGCGCTTTATTGGCGAGCAGAAGCTGGAACTCCTTCAGCTCCTCCTTCTTCAGGAACTCCAAGTAACAGGCCAGGCGGCCCCAGGCTCCGCCAGCCATCTCTGTCCCGGAGTTAAGAGGGTGTCTGGGGGATGTTCCCAGGTGGTGAGGGTATCAGGCAGGCAGAGAACAGTGCTGTCCTTTGCCTTGGCTCTTACCGTCTCTTATTCAGCATTCGGAACCCAGTTTTATAAATCCCAGGGCACCTACAGATAGACGCCGATAGAGGGGGAGTGGTAGGAAAAGCCAGGGGAGGGAGGAGCCCAGAGGGGCCTGCAAGACACTGGAAGAAGTCAGCTGATAGGGAGGTCCTGGGATGGGGTCCAGGGCCAGGCAGGGAGGGTGAGGGTGAGGGGAGATGTGGTGACGGGAGATGGGGTGTGGGCAACGCTCACTGTTCTGTGTTCCTCAGATTCTTCCCTCTCCTGGGTCCTGGACTCCTGAGATCAACCCTTGAGCTGCAAGGCTGAGAAGAGGTGGGGTGGGAGGAGCCGCAGAGCAGGGAATGGGCTTTCAGAACCCAGAGTGGAGCCCCGGGCTGCTGGCTCCCAGGTTTCTTCAGACCTCTCCAGGCCCTGGGGCACCAGCCAGCAAGAACAGCGCCTAGTCAACAAGAGCAGGAAGGAAACGTCACCCAGAGGAAACCCACAAGGGGCGTGGCCAGGGGGTAGGATCAAACCAGGCCTGGGTAGGCCAGACTCAGAGTCACAGATTCAGATGGGCCACATGGCATCTATAGGCGGACCAGGAGCACAGGCCCAGACCAGCTGACGCTGCAGCAGGTACAGGCCCATACTAAACACGGTGTGTGCACCTCCACATGGGCACTCCGCCAGCCCATCATCTAGAGCCTGTCTGCAGAGCCAGGATGCAGACTCTCCGAGCAGTTGTGTCTGCAGCCCAGGCCCAGCCTCTCAGGATGGGTGGGGCCCCCTGTGTCTGCCCGGGCAGCTCCTTATTGGGAAACATTAGAACTGGGCCAGGGAGCATTTTTCCCAGCCTCTCATGGTTTTGGGAGCTTCTTGAGTTGCACTGCATGTCCTGCCATGCTACCAGGGGCACTAAAGCATGTGTCCCAGGCCCAGGGGGCTGTTTGCCTTCTGGGCAGCCCAGCACTTAGCTGGTGAACATTTCCACCTGAAAGCAGAACAGCCCCTTCCTCATTCCTGCAAGCAGGCCTCGGGGAGCCAGGGGCAGACTTCCTCTTTCGTGGAATCTGCAAGATGCCAATGACTTCAGGTTGAGGAATGACATTGCCTACTCATTTGCTGATGTAACACACCACCAGGAATTTCTGGAGATGCTTTGGTTTCACTTGGACTGGCAGAGCCCAGGCTTCAACCCACGGCTTGCTTGGACAAGGACTCCTTATGTGCCTGATTTATTTCTTTGAGCCTCAGTTTGCCCATCTATTAAATGGGACATCATAGGTTTACCAAGAGGCTTCAATTCAGCAAAAGGTCTTAGAGTCTCTCTCTCTTTCCCAGGCTGGAGTGCAGTGGCAAGATCTCGGCTCACTGCAAGCTCCCTCCACCTCCTGGGTTCCAGCGATTCTCCTGCATCAGCCCAGCTTCCTGGGCAGTTGGGATTACAGTCACTCACCACCACGCCTGGCTAATTGTTTTGTATTTTTAGTAGAGATGGGGTTTCACCATGTTAGCCAGTCTGATCCGAGGTGATCCGCCCACTTCGGCCTCCCGAAATGTTGGGATTACAGGTGTGAGCCTCCGTGCCTGGCCTAAATAAATTTTATAAATGTTAGTTTTAAAAAATGGCTAATAAGCACATTGTAGGACATTCTAATATCAGATTGACCAGAAGTGGAAAAGTGCTGTGCTAAAAGTGGGATGATCGGGAGGCTCTGAGCACTCCGTGAAGGACCGTGAGACTCCATGTAGCGGGAGGAATGGCCTGGAGGAGGGCTGTGTGGGCTTTTTTTCCTCCTCACACCAGCCAGTTCTGGCACCAACTCTCTAGACACCAACTGGTGTCCTACAGTGCAATTCTGACACTGACTGCCTGGAGTTGGCATCAAACCTCACAGGTTTAGGGTTTCAGTGAAGAGCTGGCCTCATATCAGATGCCAGTTGCAAATGGGGTGCCCAGACCACTGGCATCTCTGTCTGACTTGGTGACAAATTCAAGGGTTCCCACAGTCCCCGGCAGGTTCAATAATTTGCTGAAATGACTCACAGGACTGAGAAAAGCACTTTATTTATTATTATCGGTTCATGATGGAGGATACGACTCAGGAATAGCCCAACGGAAGAGATGCCGAGGTCAAGGTGTGGGTGGGGGAGGGGCACAGCGCTTCCTTGCCCTCCCGGGCACCCTACTCTCCCTGCCCCTCCCTGCTTCACTAACCTGGAAGCTCTCCAAACCCCAAACAAACAAGACTGTGGGGTTTTCTCGGAGGTTTCACTTCACAGGCATAATTCATTAAATCACTGGCCGCTGGAGATCCACTCAACCTGTTAAATAGATCAGAAACCTGACCCTTCCCACCACGCCCACTGGGGCTGCTGGTCCAGCCTTCAGTCGTCTCTTACTGGGATCACTGTGCTAGCCTTCCACATGTTCTCCACCCATGCTGATGCTTCCCCTTTACTGTCTACTCTCAGTCTAGAAGCCAGAATTATCCACTTAAAGCATAAATTAGGTCAGGTCACTTCTCAGCTCAAAACTTTCCCATACTCCATCTCACTCTGAGTAAAAACCAAAGTCCAACCAAAGGTGTGGTGACTCGTGCCTGTAATCCCAGCACTTTGGGAGGCTGAGGTGGGAGGATCGCTTGAGTCCAGGAGTTCAAGACCAGTCTGGGAAACATGGCAAGACCCTGTCCCTATGACATAATATTAAAAAACTTCCCAAATCCGGCCAGGTACAGTGGCTCATGCCTGTAATCTCAGCACTTTGGGAGGCTGAGGCGGGCAGATCACCTGAGGCCAGGAGTTCAAGACCAGCCTGGCTAACATGGTGAAATCCCATCTCTAATAATTATAATACAAAAAAAATTATCCGGGTGTGGTGGCGCACGCCGTATTCCTTCAGGAGGCTGAGGCAGGAGAACTGCTTGAACCTGGGAGGCAGAGATTGCAGTGAGCCGAGATTGCACCATTGCACTCCAGCCTGGGCGACAAGAGCAAAACACAGTCTCAAACCAAACCAAACCAAACAACAACAACAACAACAACAACTCCCCAAATCTCCCAGAGCCCTCCCAATGGTTCCCGGGGGCTGCATGATCTAGCCCCTGATATCTCTCCGGCATTATATCCTACCCTATCCCCCTCCCTCACTGGATCCTCTTAGTCTTTTCCCTGTTCCTTGAATACACCAAGAATACTCTCACTCCAGGGCCTTTGCACTAGTCTTTCCATTGTCTTGGAATGGTTTCCCCAGATATTCAGAGGTGTGCTATCCAACCTTCTGTAAAGTAGAATTCCTTCATTCCGTGCTTCATTTTTCCGCATGACACTTATTATTGCCTGACGTTACAGACTTGTTTATTTGTTTACCTTCTGTCACCCCCTCCTGCCAATAGGATGTTAGGTCCCTGGAGACAGGACTTGGCTTGTTTTGTTCGCTGTTGTATCCGCTATGCCTAAATCAGTGCCTGGCCCACAATGTCAGCACAATCAATACCACAGACATTGAATGTCTTTTGAACGCTTTCCTTTAATGCTTTCCTTCTTATCCTTCCAAACAGCTACTCACTCTGGCCACTAGATGGCACTCAAGTACTTTCTGAGAATTGAAGCAGCCTCATGGGTTTGGTGGAGAGGACCCACTGGCGCTCTCTGAGCCTGAATTTTTAAAATTATCCCTGTTTCTGGTGCTTTGGGCCTTTGTTTCCTTTCCTTGAGGCATTTTAGGAACACATTAAAACTCACTTTTATTCAAGTCATGCTATTTTCAATTAAAACTTAACTCATGAGGAATATCTGTATGGCCAGTACTCCAGCAGAGTACAGTGAGGCCTTCTCTTTAGGTTCAAATTACTATGACTTGAATCAAGATCTGGATAACTTGAAATCAGCCTCCTTGAAATTCCTCTCCTCCCACCTATTTCTAAGCGTGTCCCAGGCATTGCCTCATGGGGTTCTGAAGTCAGTTCTTGGTTCCCCTCTGATCGACTGGTCTTGACTACCTTGCTGCCGTCCCTTTGGTCTCAGACCCCATTTCTATCCTCCTGAAGTTGCTGGGCCCAGGTGTCCTCTCTGTCACCACCATTTTAGGGCACGGCTCTTTTCTGGCCCATTCCTGAAATGTGGGACAAGATTTTCCCAATTTACGGCACAGCTGAGACCGTGACATGAGGATATGATTTTGAGCAAGAACTTCCCCAAGGTTCAGGGATGAAGGATAGTAAATACATCAGGGCATCACTCTCTGTAGCTGTGGCTCACACTGTCCTCAGAGCCCTCTCTGGTCCAGGATCATCCCTGCTATCCCTTTTCCAGCTGGAGCCCTCTGTAGCTCTGGTGCTTTCCATTACACACAGGCAGGTCATTGCCCAGCCTCAAGATTCTGCAGCCTCCTCTGCCCTTTGGAGGCCAGGACCCTCTGGCTCTAATACTTAGAAAGAGAACAAGCTGTCCTACATTCACATCACTCCTAGCACAGGCCCCAGGATTATCCTCCTTCCAGGATGATCGACATGGAAATATCTAGTCCCTTCAGGTGTGTGCTTGGTATTGTTGGAAATAAAAGCTCGGAGTCACAGAGAAAATGAGCACTCAAATAAAGGATTTTTTCAGCAAGGCAAATTTACTTCTGGAGAAGGGTCTCGCTTGCCCTTCTGGCCACTGCAAGAGCACACTGAACAAAGGAGGGAAGGGGTTTTTATCCCTGACCCAGTCAGTCCCTGATGCTGTGTCCGGGCCCCATTGGCTGGAGTTGGACTGCGCAGTCTAAGCTGATCCTGATTGGCTACTTCAAATGGAGCAGGGGTGGGGGCTACAGCAGCGGGAAGAGCAGTTTTGGCCAAATAAGGTACAGATGTGGGTTGTTTCAGATTGTGAATGGATGTGGGTTACAGACTGGGAATGGATGTGAGTTACAGATTGGGAACGGCTGGAAGGTTGTTTACTGTAACTAGGGGCAAGGAGGCAGAACAGTTAGGCTTTGAAAATAGAGGACAAAGAATGAGAGAATTGAACAAGCGGAACCTTTGAAAAGGAACTCACTGTATCCAACAGTGTTATGGACCCAACAAGATCATCTCAATAGTTTGACAATTCATTTCCCCCAAGTTGGTGTGTTTCAGGCTTAGATAAAACGGTGCTTTGAACATCAACAGGTGAAATCTTTTGTTAAAAAACATAGTCTAGTTCATCCAGCCCTCCTCCTCTCCCTGTTACTCCTCTTCCTCCTTCTAGTCTTTCCTCCAGTGTGAAGTGAAGGAAATATTAGGACTTGGTGTTGCCCCTACCATGGTCTGCTTTAATGTCCTGTGAACTTGGACAAGAATACACATACCCGCATCACCATCTTCCAAGAACACACGATAGCCAAAGGTCACAGTCAATTTACATCGGTTACAACAGAACGCATCTCTCACTCTGAGTATTCTCATTTGATCTTAACTGCATTTAAATCTCAGTAAAGAACAATGACTTGTTCCTGCTTTATAGGCCTAAAACACCCACCAATAAGGTCCTCTTAGAAACCAGGCAAGGCACACCCAGGTCTCTATGCTAAACGGAGGAAGTCATGCATAACTTTTCAGAGACCCTTTTTACTTTGAAAACATTTCAAACTTACAGGAAAATGTCAAGAGTTGTACAGTGAACTCCCATATAACCTTAACCTACATTCACCAATTATTAACATTTACTATTGTTTTATCTTTTAATTGTGTTTGCTGATTATTGGGAGTAAGTTGCAGATATGATAACATTTACTTCTTTTTTTTTTTTTTCCCCTGAGATGGAAGCTTGCTCTGTTGCCCAGGCTGGAGTGCAGTGGCACGATTGTCAGCTCACTACAACCTCTGCCTCCTGGGTTCAAGCGTTTCTCCTGCCTCAGCCTCTCTAGTAGCTGGGATTACAGGTGCCTGCCACCATGCCTGGCTAATTTTTGTATTTTTGTAGAGATGGGGTTTTGCCATGTTGGCCAGGCTGGTCTCGAACTCCTGACCTCAGGTGATCTGCACCCCCCCCCCCCTTGGCATCCCGAAGTGCTGGCATTACAGGCATGAGCCATCACAACTGGCCCATAACATTTACTTCTAAGAACTTTGGCAGTATCTACTAAGAATCAGGATGTTTTCTTATATGCCACTGTACAATGATAAAATTCAGGAAGCTTAAAACATTGATGCAATACTACTATCCAATTACATGTAACTTTTAAAATGACATTTTCATCTTGTTGTTTAGATTTATTAGGATTATAAAAATATAATACAGAAATATGTAGGGGGAAAAATAAAAATGTTCTTTTGACTTTCTGCACCATCAGATCTACTTCCCAGGAATAACCAATGTTACATGAATGTTTCAGTGTTCCACGAAAAAAAAAACACAGTTTTACATGAACACAGTTACTTTTCTATGTGCCAAATATATAGGATCTAAGTTTTTTAGGAGTGAATTTTTTTCCTCTTAAAATATTTTGCAGATCCCTCCATGTTAGTACATATGGATCTAAGTCGTTCTTTCTTCTCTTTTTGTAATTGTTGAGTTTTTCATAGTTTGGATCTACTATAATTTATTTGATTAGTCAAATTTGATGGAAATCTAGCTGGCTTTCATTTGCATTTTCCTGTTACCAGCCACATGGTGATAACCAACTTCGTACACAAGTGTATCTTATCACACACATGTGAGTACCTCCAAGGGACAGAGTCCCAGAAAAGGAATTTCTGGGTTGAAGAGATCACACATATAAAAATTTGGGTTCAGAAATGTGCTTCATGCCTGTAATCCCAGCACTTTGGGAAGCCAAGGTGGGCGGATCACGAGGTCAGGAGATTGAGACCATCCTGGCTAACATGATGAAACCCCATCTCTACTAAAAATACAAAAAGAAATTACCCGGGCATGGTGGCGGGTGCCTGTAGTCCCAGCTACTCGGGAGGTTGAGGCAGGGGAATGGCGTGAACCCGGGAGGCGGAGGTTACAGTGAGCCGAGATTGCGCCACTACACTCCAGCCTGGGCGACAGAGTGAGACTCCGTCTCAAAAAAAAAAAGAAAAAAAAGAAATATGCTTCTCTTGAGAGTTCATTATTTTTGTCTTTCAACCACGGCATCAAGCAACTAGACTCATGCATCTTTTATTTGTCTTCTGGGAGGTTTTCAAGTCAGAGGTTTGGCCCATCTCTTAAAAATGTACATGCCAAGTTCAATCTTAAAGCACATGATATGTCTACAGTGTTAACTCCTGGTTTCATCTTATTTTCTCCCTACTCTTGTTTTAATTTTGCTTGCTGTACATACTAAGGTAATAACATTTTAATTTTATCATGTATCTTTATATGTATGTAAATTTGTTCACTGAGTCGCTCCAGAACAATGTGCTGTGAGTACACAAAATGGTTGAATCCAGTTTTCTTTCTTTCCTCCCCTCCCCTCCCCTCCTCTCCTTTCCTTTCCTTCTTTTTTTTTTTTTTTCTCTCACCCTGTCCCCCAGGCTGGAGTGCAGCGGCACGATCTCGGCTCACTGCAACCTCCACCTCCCCGGTTCAAGCGATTCTTGTGCCTCAGCCTCCCAAGTAGCTGGGATTACAGGCATGCACCACCACATCCAGCTGATTTTTTATTTTTTAAATTTTTAGTAGAGACAGGGTTTCACCATGTTGGCCAGGCTGGTCTTGAACTCCTGACCTCAGGTGATCCGCCCACCTCGGCCTCCCAAAGTGCTGAGTTTATAGGCATGAGCCACTGCACCTGGCCTGAATGGAGTTTTCTTAATGACAGTCCTGGGAGTTGGGAGACAAGCAGATGACACGTCTGTTGAATGGGACCTGTTTCATACCAGGCACTTTGTAGAGTTAGCTCATTTCATTTTCCCAACTATTTTTTTAAGATTAAAATTATTGTCCCTATTTTGCAGATGAGAACCAGATCTATAAGACTCCAAAGCCTCCTCCTTCCCATGCATCGCAATGGCACTGATATGCTGAGTCGTGTGCTCGCCGAGTGACCAGCCAGCAGATCCCTCTCCAATAGGCTTGTCCTCCTCTCACTCCCGAGGCTGCTTTCGGCTTGCTCCGCGCTTGCCTTGGCCATTACATGGGGGAAGCCCGAGCCTCTCAGAACGTATCTGTACCTCAAGTGGATTGTTGCCTACCCCTCCCTATGGAGGCTTCTGAGCTAGAAAATACAGAGGTCAGATGATGGCCGCTGAGAACATCCAGCTCCATGGATGACAATCAAAGCAAGGGGGCTTTAAGTGCAGCAGGAGGAACTAGGATTAGCCCTGGGGTAGGACTTCTGCCCAGTGAGGGATGCTAAGTTGTAGGAATGAGATAGGGGAGGTTAGCGTGGAATTCCCTTCCAGAAGCCTTTAAGAATAAGCTAAATTTGCAACTGTCTGGGGCTTACTGCGGAGAATTAATGACGCCCCTTGTGACAGCCCTGCTAAACCTCCCTAGAAAACTACAAATCCATGATGTCAACTGGTCGTTAAACTCCATTACTCCAGGCTCTCTTTTCTTGACAAAATTTAATTTAGGCCAGTAGGTGGCGATAATTAAACAGCTGATTAAACAGGGCTTCTTCTAATCATGAGAGAATGCATTAAAAGCAATCTGGAAGGTTGCTTCTGGGAGCAAGAGGAGGAACCTTTCTGTGAATCCAGTGCTGATTGAGGTGCAATTAGCAGATCCACTAACGGGATGCCTCTCCTGACTCTTAAGGATCTCCTAGGCTCCCACCGTGATCACTTTTTTTTTTGAGCCATGGTCTTACTCTGTCACCCAGGCTGGAGTGGCAGTGGTGTGATAACGGCTTACTGCAGCCTTGACCTCCCAGACTCGAGATCCTCCCACCTCAGCCCCCCAAGTAGCTGGGACTACAGATTCGAGCCACCGCACCTGTCTTTTTTTTTTTTTTTTTAAACTTTTTTGTAGAGACAGGATCCCATTATGTTGCCCAGGCTGGTCTTGAACTCCTAGGCTCAAGAAATCCTCCCACCTTAGTTTCCCAAAGTGTTCGGATTACAGGTGTGAGCCACTATGCCCAGCCTATGATCATTTTTCCTTAGACTGGAGGACAAGGCTCTGCTGCCCAATGGATCTTGGGCAGATTTTTTTTTTTTTTGGAGAAGGAGTCTCGCTCTGTTGCCAGGCTGGAGTGCAGTGGCGTGATCTCTGCTCACTGCAACCTCTGCCTCCTGGGTTCAAGGGATTCTCCTGCTTCAGCCTCCCGAGGAGCTGGGACTACAGGTGCCTGCCACCACGCCCAGCTAATTTTTGTACTGTTAGTAGAAACAGGGTTTCACCATGTTGGCTAGGATGGTCTCGATATCTTGACCCCATGATCCACCCGCCTTGGCCTCCCAAAGTGCTGGGATTACAGGCGTGAGCCACCGCGCCCGGCCCCAAGTCCCCCTTTTCAAGGAGGTGTGGCCTGGAACAATCAGACCAAGGCCCATCTGCAGTTTCCCCCAGACTAGGGAGCTCTCCGGCTGCAGGGGAGAGGCCACTGATTCTTGATGTGTTCTTGCCTATTTCTTACACTATAACTTTTTTGAGGGCAGGGATTATGTCCATTTTGCACACCACCATACAACCGGCACCTAATGCAGTGGATTAGTTATATGTAAGTAGAAGTTCACTATGTGTTGAACAAAGGAATGAATGAAGGTTAGGACAAGAGCTGGCCTTCATGGAGCTGTCCAGGGTTCTTACCAGTCCCTGACTTCCTTCGACGGATTGGTCTTTTGCTTTCTTGCCTTCCTCCCAGGGCTTTGCGGCAACACGACACAGAACCTGTTCCTCGCATGTACTCACGGAATCACGCACCTCCTTGACAGTCTCACTGTGTCTGTGGCGGCCCCCAAACAGCCTGCTGAGCTAACTCCGAAAGAGTGGTTCTCTCTGCACAGAACCACTCGGGTTAAATGCCTCATTCTTCATCTGTGTCTATGGAGTTTTTAGTTCTGAATCCCAGTCCCTTCCATGTCACTACGGTTGAAGGATGTGTGGTAGGAAGTGGCACGAGAGGTTGCTGGAGGGGTGAGCTGGGGCCAGTCTGCAGGGGCTTAGGGCATGAATTCATGGGGCAGGGAGTGTGCCTTGCCCATCTCTGGGTGCTCAGTGTCCTGCACAGTTCCAGGCACAAAGTCAGCTCTCAATAAAAGGCGCATAATTTCTCATCGTGCAGGACTGTGCAAGGATATGGCACATGTGGACCTGGCTCTAAACTCACCCCCCTGAAATGTCTCAGTTGATATTTTCTGAGGAGTAGAAGACGAAGGATTGCTGTTTACATTTATTTCTTCTTTGTATTTGTTTACTCACATCTGGATTGGCTAAAAAAAACCCCGTTCTTGATTCTTCTATGTTGCTTCTTAGTATCTCAGACTATCATATAATACAAGGCTAAGATAGGGAGGAGGGAGGGAAGAACTGGGGGAAAAAAAGGAGAAACTAGGGGAGTCAATCTAAGACCAAGATTTCAGTCTCTCAAACAGGCTCTGGGGAACTGAAGTTTCTGCTCCCCAGCTCAGAAATCAGTGGGTAAAGAGATAAAATTTCAGAGCCATTAAAATAGATGAACCAAGAAGTGGATACAGGGAGCCATTTGGGAAAATGACTCAAACCTTGCTCTGGTATGATTCAGGGAACTCTGATGTCAGTGCCCAATGTACAACTGCAGCAAAAACAGTCCCCAAGGCCTGGCACCACCAGGCACATCCTCAGGGCTCTGGGCTCATTCTCTCTCTTTGCACATCCTCAGGGCTCTGGGCTCAGCTTTGACCTCAGCACCACCTTGGAAATGCACACAGACTGCAAAGCTCAATGCCAGGCCACGTATCAGGGGCCTGCAACCCTCATCCTCCCTCACAGTGCTCTGTCCCTAAGACAGCTCATTTCCTGTCCCTGGTCCTCCTCTCCATCCTCTCTGCTCATCATCATTTCTACCATGCATTACCCTGTAATTGCCTCTTAAACTTTCTCCCTGTCTCTGATCACACCCCTTCCAACACATCCTTCATGTAGGTAGTCAGAGAGACCTTTCTGGAACTCGTACCTCATCGTATCACACCCTTCAATAAACCCCTTCTATGACTCCCCACTGCTGTGTGGTGCTCCAGGTCCTTTAGCTCTGGTACAAGCTTCAGGCCTTGTCTGTATCTTTCTCCCGACATGGTCTCCGTGTCAGCCTTGCCTTCTCGGCGTCTCCAGAACCACTGCGTTCTGCCACCCACTGGGTGCCTTTGGGAGACTGCTCCCTCTATCTGGGAGGCTTTCTCCGACTTGATAAACTCCTCCTCCTCTATTCCAGTTCAGATGTCATCTCTTGCAGGAAGCCTTCTCCCATGTCCCCAGGCACAGTTCCTTCACTGGCCACACATAAATTATTTACTTCTTGTTATAGCGAGCTGTGCACTATCTGTTACCCCTGTCCCCTGGACCACGAGTACTTTGAGAGCAAGAGTGATAGCTTATTTCTATCAGCATCCCCTTCCTCCCATTGCCCAGCAGAGTGCCTGGCACATATTTGATGCATAGTAAGTATTTGGAGAATTGTAAAATTAATTGAGCCCATAGGATGGACACAGAAGTCTGCCTCGTGGGGACAAACTCTTCAGTCTAGAAGGATGGAAGCTGAGAAAGGACACAACCGAACGCTATAAAACGCTAAGGAGAACAGAGAGGGGCACATGAACTACGGGTGTCTGTTTTTCCAGTGGTCCCTCGGTTGGTCATTGCCCCTGGCTTTTAGATCCATCCCCCGTCTTTCTCCTGCAAGCTGTGTTTCCCAGGTTCCCTTGCCACGGGTGTTTGTCTAGGTTTGGCAGGAGATTGGAGCATGAGAGGAAGGGAGAGGTCAGGCCATTTCTCCTTTTCTCTCTGCTCTGGGTGGGGGAGGGCATTTTCTGGCCATGGCTGCATCTGGACAGCTGTTTCAGGTCCCAGCTGGATGGCCCCTCACACCACGGTCTCAGCATTTCCTGGCAATCTCTGCTATGGTTCTAGCTCGGGCTGGGTGGCCCTGGCTTCTCGGTTTTGGTAATATTGTCACCCCCGTGTCCTGCAGCTGTTGGAGGGGAAACTAGCCCCTGCTGTTGCTCATATTTGGGTGGCTTTACCATCTCTGCGTGGCTTCTTCATCTTTTTTATCCTCACTGTGGCCCGTCCTTCCTATCAAATTCCCTGTGATGGAAATACTAGAGTGGTTTCGGTTTTCCCGACTAGATCCTGATCATCATAGTCTTCTTTCATCAGTCAGCTGAAGGTTCAGTCCTGGGGTTCCTAGACCAGCCTCTGCCCTGGGTTCTACCCATAGGGGTCTCTTGTCTTGGCCACAGTGTTCCTGCAAGCCAGCCATTGGTGGCCCTTATAAGCACCAGTGTTGCCTCCTGCAGCTATTTGCCTTATGATTCCCTTTCAGAGATTTCGGTGATCTGGATCCTTGGCTGAATCAATGCTTCTGTTGGTTCTTATGGAGGAGGATTCTGAATCCTGGCGGAGTGGGGTAGGAGGCTTTGTGCAAGACCACAACCCACATGTGGCCACTACTTCCAGGATGCTAATTACCTTCTGTGCCTTGACACTTGGAAGAAGAGTGTTTGAAACACATTCAGATGCTAGTAAACTCCAGCAATTCATTATGCCAAGAGCTGGTGCCAATAGGAAATATAAACCCTTCCTGAGAGGCTTGGCTGAACTCAACAATTGATCAGTGTAGGATGATTAAGGGAAATGAGTCTGTCATGCAGCCACCCCCCACTATGGAGCAGTGATAATGTGTCTTAGGGGACCTGGCTGGAGCCAGAACCGGGGCTGAGTGGACCAGAGGCTGACCCCCTGGTGGCTCTCACATCCCTTTGCAGGATGGCAGGAGGGTGAAGGGACTCCCCAACCCTTGGTGGAGTTAAAGGTGTAGGAACTGAGGTGAGGGAACCAGGGCTGGAGAGATGGATGGGTCACTCCAAGGCAGCAGATGGGACCAGGTGAAACCTTTCCCAAGAGTGGAGAAATGAAAATACTTAAAGCTTCAGTTTGACAAGTATGTATGATAGAGGAGAAGAGAAAAAGCTAAGAGAGGGCAAGGAAGAGAGATCTGGGCACTAGAAAAAGGGTGGACATTTCTTTTCCTTTTTTGTCTTTTTTTTTGAGGTGGAGTCTCACTTTGTCACCCAGGCTGGAGTGCAGTGGCGTGACCTTGGCTCACTGCAACCTCCGCCTCCCAGGTTCAAGTGATTCTCCTGCCTCAGCCTCCCGAGTAGCTGGGATTACAGGTGTGTGCCACCATGCCCAGCTAATTTTTGTATTTTTAGTAGAGACGGGGTTTCACCATGTTGGCCAGGCTGGTCTCAAACTCCTGACCTTGTGATCTGCCTGCCTCGACCTCCCAAAGTGCTAGGATTACAGGTGTGAGCCACCGTGCCCGGCCAAGGGTGGACATTTCTATAAAGGTCATTGAGGAGATAGGATGGCAGGAGACAGGAATTCAACATGCAGGACACTGAGGCCCATTCCACAAGACAGGAGCCTGTGGCTTCATTTATGTAGTGCCTGTGTGTGCCAGGTACGTGGGAATGCAGAGGTGAAAAAGACAGTGCCTGCTCTTTGTGTGCTCCACAACTGTGGAGACTGAGAATAAAGGAGATGACCACAATTCAGTGTGGTATGGGCTCAGGTGTGTGGGCACACCAGTTGCTGTGGGGTTTAAAAGAGGAGCACCTGAGTTAAGGAAACTTGGGATGCCAGGTAAAGCTTCCAGGAGGAAGAGATTTCTGCATGGAGTCTTGAAGGAAAAACTGTAGTTATGCAGGAAGAGGAAGCAGAGGGGCTGGTGAAGGCATCACAGCATCTGGAGAGTGGTACCCAAAGGCCTGGAGTGAGGGAGAGCTGGGTGTGTTTTGGGAGCTGGATGGGTGATGATGTGAGCAGAGGCTGGAGAGGCAAGTGGTGGTGGAGGTACCCTGGGAGGCCTGATGCTACTAGGAGTTTGGACTGGCCTCCTGCGAGTCATGTGGAGCTGTTGAAACAATATGCTGGAGGAGTGATACAGGGAGATTTATAGTTTAGAAAGATTCCCCTGGCTGCAACGGGGAAGTGTGATCAGAGAGGGTAAGACCGAGGCAAGAAGACCACACAGGTGGCACTTGTGATGGTTCATGTGACAACTGCTTCCTACCAGCCCAGGCTATGCTGTGACTCCAGACAGTCCAGCTATAACAACCAGGCAGAGGGAGCCTGTCCCATCCCTGACCAGGATCTGTGGGCCCTAATGGGGCTCACTCTGGCACGGAGAGAGGGACCTTGGGGAGCTGCTTTGGGAGCAGAAGTGGCAGAGAAGTCAGCTGGCCAGGCTCTGAGATGTGCCCTGTCTTCTGCAGCTGACCGCAGGGCCAATGCGGTTTGACTCAGTGGGGCCAGTGCTTTGCAGGTGGAGGCAGAGATTTAACGGCTGCTGCTGCTGAGTTGTGAGAGTGAGGGTTTTTCGGGAATGTATGTGAAGGAGGCATCTCTATACAGCTAAATTCCTTTATTAACTTAATGAGTTTGGCTGCTTTCCTGGAAATGCAAGTGCCATTTGGCACCATCGCTGCTGCCTCAGAAAGGGTGTCATTACACTAAGAATCTGTAGGAACGTAGAATAGTGATAAACGAAGCTGCCTGGGAGATTACACAGCATCACGCAGGCTTCACAAGGGCTTTCAGAAGGGGGAGTGCTTTCACTCTGAGGTCAGTACCCAGTTAGGGGCTGGGAGTAGGGGTAGTAGAGACTCCAGTCATTATCTGGATAATCCAATCAATGCAGGTAATGCTGCATAATATTGGGAGGGAGAATATTAGAATATTAAAGTCATTTTAAAGTTGAAATATAAACTTTAAAGGGGTCACAATACCTTCTAGCCCTTCTCTGTCTCCCGTGTGCTGAGCACCCTCAAATTGAGGTTTCTAAAGGCAGGACCCAAGTCTAAAGGCTTTGTTCTTTCTGTATTGCAGCCTTGCATCCGATTGTCCAGGTGGTTCCCAGACCCACTGACAGGCAGACTCGAGGCAAACTGTTTCTTCCAAACGCCTGACCAGATTTGGAACACCAGAGGCTGAGACTAGATCACTGGGTAAAGTGGGAACAGAAATCTCTTTTTCCATCCCTTTTGTTCGTTGGAATGGGAGGAGCCTTGAAGCTAGGGGGAGACTTGGGAAGTTATTGGGCTTTTGAATTTATAATTGTGAAATCCTCTTTCTCTGAATTGAGTTTGGACTTGAGAGTTGGTTATGAACGCTGTGTGACAAGAAAATTTTCCCAGACGATGTCAGCCAGCGGACTTTGTCTTTATTCACATGATGCTAAGTTCCCAGGAGCCATGGCTGCAGAGATGGGACCCAGTAGCCACAACAAGCTCCTCTTCCTGATCACCTGCTGTGCATAAGTCATTCTCTCTAATCCTCATAGCAAGCCTGTAATGGTGGCATTAGTCTTTTGCAGCTGAGAAGTGGGGGCTCAGAGAGGTTAAGACATTTGTGAAAGCCCACCCAGCTGGAAGGTGGTGAAGGTGGGATTGCACTCAGATTGTCTTAGGCCCAAACTGGTGCCTTTCCCCACACACCTCTCCTTGCCGACGGGCAAGGTGTATATTGGGGATCTGTGGACGTCAGGTTTGAGCTTAGCCTGGCTGGGAAAAGTGTCTGTGGTCCCTCCACCCACTCTTGGCTCCTATCCCAGGCAAGGATTCCACATGGTTGGGTGCTTTTATAAAATTTTTATTTTTCAATTACATGCTCATTGCAACAAATCCAAACAACATAAAAGTGGATAAAGGAGGTGGAGAAGGACTGTCCTCCCCATTCCAGTTTGAGACCTTTTTCTTTGCTTCTGACACGTGGAGCTGAAGGGGTGGGCTCAGCGGCCAGATGGGCCGGTTCGATTCTGGGCTCCACTACTTGCTAACTCCACAACCCTGGGAAAATTACTTAACTTCTCAGTGCCTCAGTTTCTTCATCTACAAAATGGGATAATAGTACTTATCTCAAGGGGTTGCTGTAAGGGTAAAATATTTAAATAATTGGCAAAGAATAAGCATTTAATAAATCATTAGTGATTTTTATTAAACATGGCTTTTAAAATCCAAAATGAGTATTAACACTCTACAGATTGTGTGGCAACTTCCTTTTTCACTTTACAATATGTTATAGACTTCTTTCCAAGTCTGTACATATGGCACCTTTTAACTGGTTGTGTAGAATTTTATTGGCAGGGATATACTATAATTTATTCATTCAGATGTGAATGCACATGGAAATTATTTCCACTTTTTTTTTTTTTTACCATTACAACCAATGTTACACTTTGTGCCTCACATGGTCTTACTAATATTTCTGTAAGATAGAGTTCTGGAGCAAGATCATAAGATTTTAGGGTATTTGTATTTTAAATTTGATTACATGTTTTACAATTCAACAGCATAAAAAGAAAACCTGTTTCCTCAACCTTCAAGAACACTGGATTTACTCACTTTACAGCTGTTGGGTTAAAGAAATATCCAAATAACTTCACACAAGATGAAGATATTTATACAGATGGAAGTAAAGTTCTTACTTTACACCATAGATGTGCAGACATGATATAAAAGAAAACAAAAGGCTGTGTGCAGTGGCTCAAGCCTGTAATCCCAGCACTTTGGGAGGCTGAGGTGGGCGGCTCACGAGGTCAGGAGTTCGAGACCAGCCTGGCCAGCATGGTGAAACCCCGTCTCTACTAAAAATACAAAAAAATTAGTCAGGCATGGTGGCGTGTGCCTGTAATCCCAGCTACTCAGGAGGCTGGGACAGGAGAATTGCTTGAACCCGGAGGTAGAGGTTGCAGTGAGCCGAGATCGCGCCACTGCACTCCAGCCTGGGTGACAGAGCAAGACTCCGTCTCAAAACAAAAACAAAAACCAAAAAATAAACCCTCCAACCCCACAAAAAAATATGGCAAAAGACATAAAGTCCCTTCAGCACAATTTTGAACTACAGATGAGCGTGTTTAGGGAGCACTCCCAACATTATTTAATCCTTACGACATCTACTCATTGTTACCCCCATTTCAGAGGTGAGAAAACTGAGGCATAGAGAGATTAAGTAGTTTGCTTAAGATCATGCAGCTGGTGCATGGCAGAACCTCCCTCATGTCAGGACCTGCTCTCCGGTCAGCCACACTACCTCCCTGTAGAGGTCCACATGTGCTTTGGACTGGAAGAAACTAAAGAGGCTTCAAGGAAGTGGAAACTTCATTAGCTCGAGGTGCAGAGCTCCGAGTGGTTCCATGCATTCTGCATGGCTTTAGATGATTTTCCCATCTGTGACGCAGAGGGGCTGAGCTGTAATAGGGAATCACTGGGGTGGACAGAGAGCATCTTGTCCCTCTCTGCGCCTTGGGATGGAGAGACTGGGAGGCAGGCAGCAGGATGGTTCATCTGCAGTTGGACTGCATTAGCATTCCCATATATTTATACAAATAGCCCCCAGCTCCTCTTGTGCTCATTTTCCATACATGCCTATCAGTGTAGTAAATCCTGAACACTTCTGCTTAAAAAAAAAACAAAAACAAAAACAAAAACCCAACAAAATAGAATCAGTGCCTTTTGTGTTCAAAAGCTAAGTGTCTATAAATCAGACTCCTTGAATGAGAAGATGTATGTGGATTCATGAAGACAGGGCTTTGAATTATTTATCAAGAAGTGGTGCTACTTGGAACTTCAGGCACACTCAGCTCCACAACAAAACTGAGTGGCTTCTCAAGATGTCTTTGTGGACTTGATGGAGGATGACATGGATTTAAAGAATTAATTAGACATGGGGCTTCTTAGCATCTGGTACCTGCCCACATTTCCAATCCCCATATGCCCCAAGCTGCAGCCTCACCCAGGCACTCAGATTCCTGAAACATCACGTTTGCACACACTGTTTTCTCTCCTTGGATGTTCCTCTCTTCTTAGCCACCCTGCATACTCCTATGCATCTGCCAAGAGCTAGCCTAAATGTCCCCACCTCTTTTTTTTTTTTTCGGAAATATTTCCTGCCTTCTCTTGTCAGGGTTACTAGCTGCCTTCTCTGTTAAGTCTGTCTAGATACAAAATACTTCAAGAGCATAGTTAGTTATGTCTACCTATCTGTCACTAGAACAGTGTCAAGCACATAGTCAAAATTTGGGTTGTCGAATGAGGGGATCATTTGATGTCAGTGAGGAGACAACCCTTCTTGGTCAGCACCACGTGTCTGGCATGCGATGATAATTTAATTTCAAGCACAATGTGTCTAATACTTCTGTGAGTATTATCATCACAGAATAATACTTGATCTTATGATCAAGATGCTGAGGAAGATGCTTTACTGACTGCAGGTAATGCAAACCTGGAAGTGATAATAAACACACTGAATGGCTATTCGGTATTTTAAAAAATGTGGATAGTTTGGCACACTTGACTGAAATTAACAAGATGCCACTGAATATGGATACAGTGGAGGTGTTACCAATATAAAGGTCTATGAATCAATGGCAGTTGGTGGCTGGTGTGAGGGAGAAGATTCACAGGTGACCAGGGTATTAAATAGTCCTCCACATATGCCACGGTCTTTCATACCCATTGGTGAGGGGAAGCTTAGGGTTTTGTCTGGGAAAAAGCAGGAATAGGTAGAGTTTGAGTCACTGAATCCTCTGTGTTTGTAATAATGCCTACCACTTAGTAGGTTCACAATAAATATTTGTTGAATTATGAATGAATACTCTAGTCACTTTGCATTTACTTTCTGCTTGCAGTATCCTATGCCTCCAAATTTTTTTTTTGAGACCCTCTGTTGCCCAGGCTGCAGTGCAGTGGCACGATCTCAGCTCACTGCAACCTCCACCTCCTGGGTTCAAGTGATTCTCCTGCCTCAGCCTCCTGACTGGGATTACTGGCACCCGCCACCACACCTGGCTAATTTTTGTATTTTTTAGTAGAGACGGGGTTTCACCATATTGGCCAGGCTGGTCTTGAACTCCTTACCTCCGGTGATCTGCCTGCCTTGGCCTCCCAGAAGTGCTGGAATTATAGGCGTGAGCCACTGTGTCCAGCCCAAATTCTTACTAGTTCTTCAAAATTGAACTCAGAAGTTAACCAACTGTAGGGCACTTTCTCTAGTGGCTACTTCCCCACTGGGCTATTATAATACTCTCATTTAAAACATAGGACTTAATACACTGTGTGAATGCTATTTGTTTATAGCATTCACACAGTATAATATGTGTGATATATAGTATGGATCCCCCATAAAACTGAGAGCTTGGCAAAAGCAGGGGCTGGATTTGATCTCTAATCAACCAGTGAACTCCATATCATTGGTGCTCAATCAATGTTTGTGGACTGAATGACTGAGAAGCTCTGGCACATAATTTCCCTCAGAGCTCAGTGGTCTGAGAATTAGAGACAGGTCAAAGGACAAGGTCTTTGTCTATAGAGGACAAGACTGTAGGGCATGGGTTCAAGGGATCTCAGGGTGTCACTAAGAGCAGCACTTGGTCCAGAATTTGTAGGGAGATGAGTCTCACTCTATCGCCCACGCTGGAGTACAGTTGTGCGATCTCAGCTCACTGCAACCTCCTCCTCCCAGGTTCAAGTGATTCTCCCGCCTCAGCCTCCAGAGTAGCTGGGACTACAGGTGCACGCCACCATGCCTGGCTAATTTTTGTATTTTTAGTAGAGATGGGGTTTCACTATGTTGGCCAGGTTGGTCTCAAATTCCTGACCTCAGGTGATCCACCCGCCTTGGCCTCCCGAAGTGCTGGGATTATAGGCGTGAGCCACCATGCCTGGCCGAAAATAGGCAGGTTTGATTTCTAAGCTTCAATCATCCTTCAAGAGCTTTAAGAGCTTCTGACTCTAGATCTGTGCATTGAGTATGACATCACAGCTCTGTCTGAGACATTGGAGGTGGAAGAGTTCAGAGTTATGGCAGGGTCCCTGGCCTGGGGGCAGTGATATAGAGGAGAATGTTGCTGGAGTTAAGGAGGCTGGAGAACTGTAAGAGCAGGATGTCAAGAGTGATATCATCTTGGATGCTGAGTTCATCAAGGATGATATCAAGGGATGGAGTGTAGAGCACATTTTAAAGATCACTTCAGACTGAAAATTACAGAATGGTCCAACCTCAAAAACACTTAAGCAAGAGAAGGATAATTTGTTGGCTTCGAGTATCCTAGGAAGGGTAGATTAGTCAAGCTATGGGACAGTCAGGGAAGCAACTGGGTCTCAAGAACTATTGGAACCAGGGATTTTAACGCCAACAGGTCTTTCACTGTATGTGTGTCTCTGTCCTTTTCTCTGTCCATATCTTGCTTCTTGGACATGTTTGTTTCATTTGCCGTTTCCATAATGAATCACTTTCTTCATGTGGCAGGACACAATGCAGTTCTGAGGTTTACTTCTTATAGCTTTAATCACCAAAGAGACTGACCTTCTGGGACACACATTTTAAAAATTCCCAGGGAAGAGATCCATTATCTCAGAGGGAGTGAGGTGCTCATTCCTTGACTAGGGCCCTCAATTTGTCACCAGGTAGGTTGGGGGAAGCGCTTGCAGAGTGAAGTTATTGTGGGAAGTGTATTCATTTAAGAGACATTCTTCATTTTATGATAGGAGATACAGCAATTGGGATGACTTTGGCTGCAAATAGGAGAAAACCTTACTCACACTGGTTTAAATAATAAGGAAATTTATTGGCTCATATAATGTGAAGCCCATGTGTACAATGGTCTTAGGTTAGCTTAATCCAAAGGCTCCAGTGTCCTTTTTTCTGCAATTCCCTCATCTGTACTCTCTTTTTGCTTAGTCTTTGTCTTCAGACTGCTTCCTTTTTGGAGGCAAAAAAGAGGTAGCAGTTTCTGGCTCCACATCCACACATAAAATCCAGAGGAAGAGAAATTGTCTGAAAGATTTTTCATAATAAAGGAAGCTTTATTCTCAGAATCTTCCAGCAAACCTCTCTGTGGTTTCATTGGCTTGAATTGGATCCCATGCCCTTTCCTGAACAAGTTGGTGGCTGGTGGATTTCGTGTGCTGACTGGCTCAATTCTATTCATCCCAGAGCCTGTGGCAAGGAGACTGGGATTATCCAGATTGGATTAGACTAATTAGAGGCCATCCAAAACACCTGAGTGCTGCACGGTAGGCATGGGTGTATCAGTTAGCTTTTTTTCGCTTCTTTTTGTTTTTTGAGATGGAGTCTTGCTCTGTTACCCAGGCTGGAGTGCAGTGGCATGATCTTGGCTTACTGCAACCCCCGCCTCTTGGGTTCAAGCGATTCTCCTGCCTCAGCCTCCCAAGTAGCTGGGATTATAGGTTCCTGCCACCACGTCTGGCTGATTTTTCTAATTTTAGTAGAGACAGGGTTTCACCATGTTGGCCAGGCTGGTCTTGAACTCCTAACCCCAGGTGATCCACCCACCTTGGCCTCCCAAAGTGCTAGGATTAAGGCATGAGCCACTGTGCCCGGCCTCAGTTAGCTTTTGTTGTGTAACAAACCACCTAAATTTTAGTTGCTTAAACTATCATTTGTTTATTACGTTCAGATTTTGTAGGTGAACAATTTGGGCTGTGTTTAGCAGGATGGTTCTTCTGTTGGGCCTAAATCTCTCCTGCATTTTTGGTCAGCTCATAGGTCAGCTCGGGTTGTGGGGTTTATGACATCTTTGCTGAGATGGCTGGGATGACTGGAGCCGCTCTTCCTCTGATTGTCTGAGGGTTCCAAGAGCCACAAGAGAGAACAAGCCCCAGGGCACAAACACTTTCCAAATATCTTCTTGCCACACATTGCTATTGTCCCATTGGCTGAAGCAAGTCACACAGCAAGTACTGAATCAGGTAAGGGGAAGATAAGGGGATGGAGAAAGGGCTGGGTGTGGTGGCTCACACCTGTAATCCCAGCACTTGGGGGGCCGAGGTGGGCAGATCACTTGAGGCCAGGAGTTTGAGACCAGACTGGGCAATACAGCAAAATCCCATCTCTAAAAAAAAAAAAAAATACAAAAACTAGCTGGGTGTGGTGGCAGGCACCTGTAGTCCTAGCTACCAAGGAGGCCGAGGTGGGAGGATCACCTGAGCCTGGGAGGTTGAGGCTGCAGTGAGCTGTGATTGTACCTGTGTATTCCAGTATGCGTGACAGAGTGAGACCCTGTCTCAAAAAAAAAAAAAAAAAAAAAGAAAGAGTGAACAAAGTTGGAGCCATAAACACAATAATCTACCCCAGTGAGGAGAGCTAACATTGGGAGAGAGCCACTGTTTCTACCCTAAGATGCAAATGGAAAGAGTGGTTCTAGAGAAGATGTGGAATGCAGAAGACTCTGATTCCAATACAACAGGAGCCACAGGGCACACTGTGTTGGAAGAAGTGTTTGGGCACAGTATATATCTGGAGAGGAGATGGCAGAGAGAGAAGTTTGCACTTAGGACCGAAAGTAAGGATGGAGGGAACAGTTCAACCTGGAAACAGTGCCAGGCTTTGGACTAGGAATGCTGCCTGCTCCATCTTATTTGGTCCCTACAGCTGCAGGTGAGAAAATGGGCTCAGAGAGGTTAAGCAACATGCCCAAGGTCAAGGTCACACAGTGAGAAAGTGCGGATTTAAGCCCAATTGTCTGTGGATCTCAGGTGTGAAGGAAACAGGATTTGGCTGACGATGGCAGTGAAGGAGGGGGAGGGGAATGGGGTAAAGGAGTGCTGAAGTGCAGAGATCTGTGGCCCCAGCTCACCCCAATGTTGAGCAGAGTGAGCCTGGACCAAGACGCCTCTTTGCCAGCATGGAGTTCTGGACTGCAAGCTCCTGGGGCATGGACCTCATTCCTGTTCTAGTCCTCCTGCCCACAGCATCTAGCAGAGTTCTGAGACTCGGCACTGAGGGGCACATCCCATGTGCCCGGTGGTTTACTGCCGCTGTCTCACTTAGCCCTCCTAACAGCACGGATGTGGCATATGCCACTATTATCCCCATTCTACACATGAGACAACCACGGCCTGGAGAACTAAGACACGTCTTTGTGTTTGCAGACTTAGTGAGTAGAGAAGCCAGGGCTTAAAGATGGGGCCGTGGAGCCCAAAGTTCATGCTCTGAAGTGCTGGCTAGGCTGCCTCAGGGAGGAAGCAGTGCACCAAAGGGAAGGGTGGCAGGAGGGGGAGAGCCTGGATATGGAAACCCTCACGGTGAGGGGTTTGACACGTCACCATTGAAAACATGTGAGGACTTATTACTACTCTCCAGGATTGGACTAAGTGTTTTCTTTTCTTTTTTTTTGAGACGGAGTTTTGCTCTTGTTGCCCAGACTGGAGTGTAATGGCGCGATCTCAGCTCACCGCAACCTCCGCCTCCTGGGTTCAAGTGATTCTCCTGCCTCAGCCTCTTCAGTAGCTGGGATTACAGGCATGCGCCACCATGCCCGGCTAATTTTGTATTTTTAGTGAAGATGGGGTTTCACCATGTTGGTCAGGCTGGTCTCGAACTCCTGACTTCAGGTGATCTGCCTGCCTCAGCCTCCCGAAGTGTTGGGATTACAGGCGTGAGCCACCGCACCTGGCCTGGATTAAGTGTTTTCTATATCTTATTTAATCCTCAAAAATTACGTGGGGGCTGGGCACTGTGGCTCAGCCCTGAAATCCTAGCACTTTGGGAGGCCAACACGGGAAGATCACTTGAGGCCAGGAGTTAGAGACCAGCCTGGGAAACATGGGGAGACCCCCTGTTTCTATAAAAGGTAGAGAAAATTAGCCAGGTATGGTGGCATGTGTCTGTGGTCCTGGCTACTCAGAAGGCTGAGGTTGGAATATTGCTTAAGCCTAGGAGTTTGAGGCTGCAGTGAAGTATGATCATGCCACTGCACTACAGTCTGGGTGAAAGAACAAGACCCTGTTTCAAGAAAAAAAAAAAGTACTTGAGGATACATATTACTTGTTTGCCCATTTGAGAGGTGAGAAAACTGAGGATCAGTGAGGTGAGCTCACTTGCCAAAAACCACACTACTACTAAGAAGAGGCAAAGCTGCAGGCAAATCTGGTCAGGGCTAACCTCAAAGCCCACGCTTAACCACTGCACCACCCAGCACTTTGCTATCCAACACTGAGTGCTTCAGCCTTGCACTATCCGGGCCCATGCTGGGTGCAAGACAAGGCTGCAAAGGCAGATATTTGTGGGATGTGCTGCAAGCTTTGATTACCCAGAAGACTCTTGGGAGAGGGAGGGTCAGACATTTTTGTTGCTTCTTACGATTGAATTTTTGGAACACTCTGGTGAGAGTTGAGTTGAGAATTTGGCACAGAGAGAGCACCCCAAAAATGATGGCTGTGCTGAACCAAATTGTGGCTCTTCCTGGAGTGTGACACTTCCAGCCAGAGGCCCTCAGGTATGCACAAGAGCAGCAATGCCCCAGACCTCCAAGGACTCAGGACCTAAAGTAGAGCGAGAAGCCCAGATACAGTCTCCCTACGGGAGGGGCACGGTGAGCTCCAGGCCTCCACATCTGGACAGAGAGCTCTCATCAGCTTGGACGAGCCAGATCAGGTCCCTCTGCACATGACGCCTTTCTCCTTTTCAAGCCATTCTATAAACTCCCAGTGCTGTGGCCAACCAAACAGGCAGGGCTGGAGCAAGAACCATGTCCTCCCTTCGAATCAAACATTTCCCACAAACCTTTTTCTCCCCAAAGTCACTAATAACAATCTTCATGCCCACAGCATCTGCTAACGATTTATTATTACACGGGTAGTATAACATTTTCATACCCACACCATTTTTCATCCTAGGTGGAGTTAATTGCAAATGACTCCCAAGCAAACAGCATTTCCTCCAGCAATCCATTGCGAACAATGGAGCTCCGATTCCCCCCACCAAATCCTGCCGCCTTGCCCCAGCTCCCATGACCTTCTCTCATTTATCACCATTGCTCTAAATGAGTCACACACACCAATAGAAAAGGCCCTGAAACTTTCAACTCAGTGGCTCCTTTCTGCTAAAAGCAGCTCTAAAAGCATGCGGACTTTCTTGAAAATTGAGTTCTAGTTTCTCATCAAATGGAAAAAGAACTTTTCCTTAGGGGCATCTCTCACCACCTATGTCCATATGACGTATGTGAAGTCGTGATGTCTTGGAGGTGGCTGAGGGGCTTTCAGGTTCATTTGGTTGGTGACAGAATGCTGCCAGGTGAGAGCAAGGCTGCAGAGAGCAGAGCTTTCCAAATTGCTGCATTTTCTACAACTCTAAGGTAATAAAACTGGAATAGGTAACAATTGATGTTTGTATAATTCTACTAAGTGTCAGAGACTCTTCTAAGTCCTATATGTATATTTTACATACATTTAACATATATATTAAACAGCCTCCTCATAACCATTCTGAGGTAATTACTATTAGTATTTCCACTTTACAGGTGAGGAAACTGAGGCACGGAGAGATAAGTGACTTGTGACTTGCCCAACATCACAGAGCTGGTAAGTGTTGGAGTCAAGATGCAAACCCAGGTGATCTCCATCCAGTATGAGCTCTCATCTGCTCTTCTCTCTGGCCTTTTTGTAGTGTGTTAACCTCTTTCCTTTCCTATGTTGACATAATCGTTTCAAAGACTATACAGAAAAGATGTCAAGTGAAGCAGTGTGAATGAAGACGGTGAGTTTTGTAGAGAGGGCTGACAGAGGGCTGCGCCTTTCATAGGGTTTTCTACTCCTACCAAGCAATAAGAAGAGCCCCCTCTCCCTCCACCCAGTGGAATCATTTCCCCCAGTTCTGTGTCTATGAGAGAGCAGAGGGAGAGGACATCCCTGGAACTGGAAGACCTGCATTTGAGGACCAGCGCCCTCTCTTTCCAGCTGTGTGGTGTGAAAGGAATACCAGCCCAGATTCTGGCATGGCCTTCCATTAACTAGCTGTGTGCTCTCAGCCATGCTGTTTCTTTCTCTGGACCTAAATTCCTGCATCTTCAGAAGAAGGGTGAGCTGGATGATAGCCAATGTTACATCTTGCTCTAAGTGAGGCAATTCTAGTTCAGGATACAACAATCATTTCATCTAATGAACCAACTTCAGATCATTTTAGTGGTGGCCACAAGGTGTACCTTCTGGAGATTAATTCCGAATTCAAGTTCAGGCTCAGAGGAAAAGGTGGCTTGATCTATTTGTGAGTCTACCACAGACTTTGGAGGGGGAAAAGTGAAAGTTACAACAGACATCTGACATTCTAGTTCCACTGTCCTCACTGTTTTATTTATTTATTTTTTGAGACAGGGTCTGGCTCTGTCGCCAAGGCTGGAGTGCAGTGGCACAATCTCAGCTTACTGCAACCGGGCTCAAGCAATCCTCCTGCCTCAGCCTCCCTAGTAGCTGGGACTACAGGTGCACACCACCACGCCTGGCTAATTTTTGTATTTTTCATAGAGACAAGGTCTCACTATGTTTCCCAGGCTAGTCTTGAACTCCTGGGCTCAAGAAATCCACCGCCCTCGGCCTCCCAAAATGCTGGAATTACAGGTGTGAGCCACTGCACTCAGCGTCCTCACTTTTTACATGAGGAAACCAAGCCCTAGAGAGGTTAAGTGACTTCCGTTAAGCCTCACGGTGAGGTAATGGTGGAGTTGGGATTAGAAGCCAATTCTGCATATTTACTATGGAATGTCACTGTATGAGGAGTTGGCAGAATAGCTAACAATGACCGACATTTATTGAAAAATCACTATATCCTCGCTATGTGTGGTAGACGAAATTATTGTTCATCACTCATTCCTTCCCCCTGAATCTCCAATCCACAGGCAAATGAGTGAGAAAGTAAGTGCTTGTTGTTGTATGACACTGAGCTTTTGTGGTTGTCATGCAGCAATAGCTGACCGATACAGTAATTGGTATCTGAAGTGGAATGCTTTCATAACAAAAACCTGAAATACGTGGCACTGGTTTTGAGACTGGGTGGCAGGTGGTGAGGGAAGTGTTGTAGGAGGCTAGTAAAATGGCACTCATGTTATGTAATGGCAAAACGTTTGGCAAAGCTGTCACTTGGAATAGTCTGGAAGGTAAAGAATGTGCCTGAAGCATTTGTCACATTGGATGAAAAAAATCTGGGGCAGGATGTTGAAAGTATGTGCTGACTACTGCTAATTGCATTAAGCTCAAGGAGGAAGTGGCCGGCTTGCAAGCAGAATTTTAAGGAACTATAAAGAGGCCAGAAATTGCACGGTGGGAAAACAAAACAATGTCTTACCAAACCGGAGGTGTGGCCACTACGATATAGCCTTGGGAGATAAAATTTAGGGGTTTCCTCTGTAAGATTTTTGTTGTTTGTTTTGCAGCCAAAGCTGACTGATGGGTACTCTACCAGTCACTTTGCATGCATTATCTCATTTAACCCTTATAATAATCCCAGAATGTAGATGTGATTATTTCCATTTCACAGATGCTGAAACTGAGGTGTAGAAAGGTTCTGAAACAGGCCCAAGGTCACACAGCTATGTGAGGCAGAGCCAGAGTTAGAACTCAGTGGTGGAGGCTGGGCTCGGTGGCTCACGCCTGCAATCCCAGCACTGTGGGAGGCTGAGGCGGGCAGATTGCCTGAGGTCAGGAGTTTGAGACCAGCCTGGCCAACATGGTGAAAGGCTGTCTCTACTAAAAATACAAAAATTAGCTGGGCGTGGTGGCGCCTCTGATCCCAGCTACTCAGGAGGCTGAGGCAGGAGAATCGCTTGAACCTGGGAAGGGGAGATTGCAGTGAGCTGAGATGGCACCATTGCACTCCAGCCTAAGCGACAGGGGGAGACTCCATCTCAAAACAAAAAACAAAAAACAAACAAACAACAACAAAAAAACCTCAGTGGTGGATCTGACCCTAAAACCCATACTCTTACCAGCAAGCTTTTCTGCCTCTCATCCTGCAAACGCTGCCGTTCTCCTTACTCTGAATGTGTGTGAGTGTGGTAGGCAGAATAATGGACCTCCAAATATGTCCCCATCCCAGTCCCTGGAAATGACAAAGAGGAATTAAGGTTGCAGATGGAATTAAGGTTGCTAATCATCTGACCTTCAGAAAGGGAGATTATCCTGGATGATCTGGGTGGGCTCAATGTAATCACAAGGGTCGTTATAAATAGAAGAGAGAGGATCAGAGAGACCTTTGAACTGCTATGCTGCTGGCCTTGAAGATAGAGGAAGGGGCCATGAGCCAAAGAATGCACACAGCCTTCAGAAGCTGGAAAAGGCAAGGACACAAATTCTCCCCTAGAGCTTTCAGAAGGAACGCAGGCTTGCTGACACTGTGATTTTAGCCTCGTAGTCTCATTTTGGAGTTCTGACCTCCAGAACTCTAAGATGACAAATTTGAGTCACGAAGTTTGTGGTAGTTGGTTACAAATAGCAACAGGAAACCAATACGAGTATTCCTAAATGTGTGCTTTATGTGTATGCACAACATGTCCTTTTGTTTTGAGACAGAGTCTCACTCTGTCGCCCAGGCTGGAGTGCAGTGGCGCGATCTCAGCTCACTACAGCTTCCGCCTCCCGGGTTCAAGTGATTCTCCTGCCTCAGCCTCTGGAGTAGCTGGGATCACAGGCACGTGCCACTAAGCCTGGCTAACTTTTGTATTTTTAGTAGAGACGGGGGTTTCACCACACTGGTCAGGCTGGTCTCGAACTCCTGACCTCAGGTGATCAGCCTGCCTTGGCCTTCCAAAGGACTGGGATTACAGGCGTGAGCCACTGTGCCCGGCCCAACATGACTTTCTAAGTGTATACCTCTCCATAAAAGTCTACATGTCTTGGGTAAGGGGAGCCCTTTTGGTGGCGAAATAGGGGTGAAGAAGCCAGCAGATTCCTAGGACGGCTGCAAGCTTCAGCTATTCCTTTATTAGTTGGCCACAACACATACAGCACTGTAATTGAACTCAGCAAGCATGATATGCCTGAGACCCACAGGTAAGTATCTATGTGAGTGAGTGGTATAGCCATCCGTGTTCAGGTACTCACACACGTGTGTGAATATTCATACGTGCACCTGTGTGAGTGAACATGTCATCTTTGCTCGTGTGTGTGTAGACAGATGTGTCTATGTATGTGTATGACTATGTGCAGGCATGTGTGTACATGGGTGCGCATGCATAAGGCACTTGAGAACACATATGTACACCTCTGTGTGTTATGTGTGTTGTGTGCACATGCGTGCACCCTGGATTCACTTGGGCATTTTGGGCCTGAGATTAGAACCCTCCTAACCCATTTATCTGGCACCTTCCTGAGCCAGGCCCTGGGTAGAGACGTAGCACAGGAGCCCTTGACAGGAATCATTAATTTGCTCTTTTCTCCCTGGGGCTGGAGTAAAATGAAGCTTGTTTTCCATTTCTACACAATGAGAAGAAGTGTATCGATTTTTCCTCACTTCTGATTGTTCACATTAGGGGCTTGTTTCTAAATAATTGACACTACGATCATTCGTTTTACTGCACAAACATATTTTACGGGTCACTTTTCCCTTTGAGCCATAGTCCTGGGTGGACCTGAAACAAGTCCATTTTGTAGACTGGTGTTTCTCTGCATGGAGAACATCCCTCAAAGAGCAGGTTCAGCTGCTCTGGTGGCCCCCTTGCAATTGTATTTGTTCACACATTAATTTGTCCAAAAGATTGCACTGAGCGCCAGTGCTGTGTGGACAGAATCTAGGCAGTGGGTGTGGGCTGGGGTAGAGGAGCACTAGTGGGTCCTTGCTTGCTGAAGCAATCAGTCGGGCCTGAAGTGCTAGCCTCAGACGGAAGTGCTTCCTTCCATCCACCTTAGGAAGCAGTAAGGAAATTCACGGGCTCAAGGAAAAGCAGGAGGAAGAGGGAGGGACAGAGTCAAAGCCCCCAGCTGTCAAGGTCCCCTCTCCTAGCTTTGCTCATGTCACACTGACTTTTCAAAGGATGCTGCCCAATCATCCATAACCAATCATCCTTATGCTTGAAAAATAGCTTAGCCCCCCTCAGGCTTCTCTGAGTCCCCAAACTGGAAGGACACCTCCCTCCTCAGTCCATCTCCCCCAGGGTCAGCATCTGAACCTCGTTCCTTACGTTCTGATTTGGGTTTCAACGTGAGTTCCTTGGGATGTAATTTCTTTGAGGTCAGAAGCCACCCCTTCCTCACCGTCTCTCCAGCTTCCGCAGGGGAGTTTCCAGTGCTGCTACCCATACAGTTGGATCACCCTCATTCCCTGGACTTGTGAAATCCCGAGAGAAGGAGCTGGGATGGAAAGTGGTGACCACCACTCCCAGCCCTGCTCTCTGTTTTTCTGGACTTCTAGTACTGACCCTCCACGCCCACCCTTGGGTTGATGTGGTCTCTCTAAGGTCTTCTCAGTGTGACTCTAGGCTAATTTTCCTTTTTTGAAAGTGGTGCTGAGAACAGTAATTTCTTTTCTTGTATGGGTGACCCCTTCATGGACAGTTCAGATTTCCAAGCTTTGGTGCCACATCCTGCAACCCAGTGAGGAGGAGAAGGGAAGGTCCGGGCTGAAAGGCTTACAGCTTCCCACTGCCCCTGCAGGGTAGGCTCCAGTCTGGCTGCCTGTGAGCCCCTGAGCAACTGGGTCAACCTTGTCTGCTCAGGGGAGGGTTGCTCCTGATTCTTGCAGGAGGCCTCAGCTGGTGCAACAGCAGTGGCAGGTTTTGGGGGGCATCTCCTATCTCTTCATATGGCCCCAGAGAGAGAGAGACAGAGACTCATGGGACTTTCTTATACAGGCTGAAGCCAGGAATGCTAGTTGCCTCCCTAATATCCATTCTCTTCTTTGTTCTTCATAACAGAGCCCCAATTCTATTTCGTGTGGCAATGGGTCTAACTAAAGGACCAAGTGTTCCAGCCTCTCTTCAGCTAGAGGTGACCAACAGGTTGGGAGCAGAAGTGGTTGGGTAGAGCTTCTGAGAAAGTGCTTTAACAAAGGGCAGGCAATGGTATGTGACTTCTGCCCCCTCTTTTCTCTCCTGTTTTTTTTTTTAAATTTTGATTTTAATTATTTTATTCTATTTTTTGAGACAGAGTCTCACTCTGTCACCCAGGCTGGATTGCAGTAGCATGATCTCTGCTCACTGCAAGCTCTGCCTCCCGGGTTGAAGCAATTCTCCTGCCTCAGCCTCCCAAGTAGCTGGGACTACAGGCACCCGCCGCCATGCCCGTCTAATTTTTTGTATTTTTAGTAGAGACAGGGTTTCACCATGTTAGCCAGGATGGTCTCAACCTCCTGACCTTGTGATCCGCCCACCTCGGCCTCCCAAAGTGTTGGGATTATAGGTGTGAGCCACCGCGCCCGGCCTTTTCTCTCCTGTTAGCTTTCTGCCTAGAACACAGACATAATGACTGGAGCCCCAAAAGTCATCAGGAAGTGACCTTGAGGATGAAAGCCGTGTTCTAAGGGTGATAGAACATAAAGATGGAAGATCCTGGCTTCTATTTACTACAGAATATTTTCTTCTGTTTATCCCAGGGCTTCTTGTATATAAGAGAGAAAAAAAATTATTGCCATTTTCTGTTACGAGTTTCTTAATGCAACTCCTGATGTATCAGACTGTATAGTTATAGCTGTTACTGAGAATACCCAGGTGTTCAGGAGCTGGGTGACCCACGCACAAGTGATCTACCAGTCTTTTAAAATTCTATTATTAAAACCCAAACATGCTCTTTCATTTCCACAGAACACTGGGTCTAAATTTAGACTGGTGCATCCTGATGCTGCACCAGTCTGCTCTTAATTTAAGGCATACAGGCATCTTGCTAATTTGAGGATAGTTATGTGACTAAGGGAGAAAGTGGCAGATGTAAGGGGAGCCCAGGCTCCAAAGGGAATTTTCCCAGAGGCTCCTCCAATACAGATATCCAGAGTAAAGTAGCAAACAACACGAGCTGAAGGTACAACACAGGCTGAAGGTTCCAGGCTCGGCCAAGCAGCCAGGTAGTGCAGCTCAGCAGAGCTCATTCCACTTTGCAGAGGCTGTGTGTGCATGTATGCAGGCTGACTGTCAGTATTGGTTTGACTGGATGGGTTATTAAGTTCAATGTTGATTCTGACTGGTCAGTGCCTATGCCTACACTAGTTAACTATTCTGAATATGACCCCTGCGTAGTACAAGGCTTTTAAAACCTGACAACCTCCTTGCTTGATGATGGACTACTTCATCTCCAGGTCCACCCAAGGACTGTGGAATGCACTGGAGTTCAACCTGTATATTCAAACAATAAATGATTAATTCTACACATGTGCAACTCTGTAATATTGAAAGAGGAGGTCAGTGAGTGTGCATATTAAAGGACAACAGAGGCCTTTCCTCTAAGTGGACCATCCTCAAACTCTTTTTGTTGTTTTCTTCAATTCTCTATCTGGTTGTCTTTTGATCAGTACAGACATACCTTGAAGGGGAATTAATCATATTCCAGCTGCACAGCCACCTTTTTCTGTGTGTCAAAAATGACAAGCTCTTTACTTTCAAACATAGCCACCATTAGATGCTGTTGTGTTCTTCAAGCAGTGTTCCGCCTTCTGAAATAGATTCCCACTCAGCACGGGCAAGTGCCAGCTCCTGGGCCTTTGCCAGTCTGCTCCCTCCCTTAGCAGTTAACCTGGAGGTGCTCAGCCTACCAGGGGCATGGGATGGCTCCCACTACTTGCGGTTGTAATTCTTCACCTCACTGTCATGGTGCCTAGCTTCCTGGGAGCTCAGGACATTATTCCCTCCCTAAGCCCTTTGGGAAGGTTGCTCAGGGATCTAACCAAGGGTGAGTTCAGGCCCCCTTACCACTGCCTATTCCCTAAAGTGGTTTTGGGGCCTGGGTCCTTAGGCGTCCTTTTACTAGTTCATCTTGGGTGGAAGTGGAAGTTTCCATCCTTTCTAATACTGAGCTGTGCTGCTCATCCCTTCTGCTCCACCCTGGTCTTACAGATCCTATTCCCTTCACCCCACCCCAGAGGAGGAATGCAATTCAAGGTCATATGATAATGAGGAGACCTTGGGAATTTTCTTCAAGAGGTAGCAGAGATTGGAGACCTGTCTATGTCCATGAGAGTTTAAAGATATTCCTGGAGGACTTCCTATTCAAGATGCTGCACTGAGCACATTATATTCCCTCCTTCCACTAAAATGACAGTAAAGGATACAATAGTATAGTCCTCTAACAAGGTAGACAATGGGGAGGGGCAGTGAATGAGGCATTTTAACAGATTTCCAGAAGGGAGGAAGTATATGAAGAAATGCTGGTTGGAAAGCAGAGTGGAGAAACTCCCAGCTTGGAATACATGCAAAGGGGACATGCCTAGTGGAGCCCAGAGAATGCCACAGACGTAGAGATGACAGGTACTTTAGGATGGCCTAGAACGAGAGAATGAGGCTGAAAACAGGAAGAATAATCGAAGATGTGTACAAAAACAGTTGACCGTCACAACCCTCACTCTCTTTCCCAAAATGCAGACTAGATGACAGTCCAGAATTTACCCCTAGGACAAAACAGAATGATTATTTCTTAAGAAATTCCATAAATGTCCGGGAAGAATTTGGGCAGTGAGCGTGAGTTGGGGTCTGAGAGTAACGTCCTCTGCCTTCTGGCATTTGAGGGGGGAAAGTTTTGTGTGATTTTGACTTTCTGATCATTCATGTGGCATGAAGCCACCAGTGGCCAGTCCTGCCCTTGGATAGAGAGCTCCTGGTCAGAACAGTTCATTTATAAACATGAATGAATGGCCATGGATCCCCGAACATTTGAGGAGAATCTGAATTAATCAAGAGACAAAGTAAGGTAAATGGGACATTGGTTGCAGAAGAAACAGGATGATAGGGAACAGAACTTCCAAAAAAACTCCTGTCTCTAAAGCATTCACCCTGTCCCTGAACATATCAGACTTCCTAAGTGGTCCTGCTGAAGGTCCTCACGCTTGGCTCAAAGTGGAAAATTTAAACATCTTGGTTTGGCATCTTACTAAATCTATGCTGTAATGTCCCAAATGGTAGCCATTAGCCACTTGTGCCTATTTAAATGTAAATTTAAATTAATTAAAATGAAGCAACAAATTTAGTTCCTCAGTTGCATTAGCCACTCACGTGCTATTTCAAGTATTCAATAGCTGCATGTGGCTAGTTTCTACTATATTGGACAGTGCAGATACAGAAGTTTACATCACCAAAGAAAATTCTATTGGACAGTGTTGATCTATGGCAATAGGTTACAGCCGAAACTTGCATTTTATCATCATTACATAGATTTATACACATATACACACATCAATCACTTCCTCTTTTACAAATTATTTGTTTTTATATATTTTTAAATCGAAGCATAATTTATATATAGTAAAATGCACAAATCTTAAGTGTACAGGTCGATGAATTTTTAATATGTATATACCAGCGTGACTACCAGTCAAATTAATATATGGAATATTTCCATCACTTCAGGATACTCCCTCGTACTCCTTTCAGCCAGTATTTTGTCTCACCCTCTCCCATCATCCCCGGGGTAACCATGCTCTGAAATCTATCACCATAGATTAGTTTTGTCTGTCCTTGAATTCATAAATGAGGTCATACAGTATATATCTTTTGCATCTAGTTCTTTCCCTCAGCATAATGCTTTTGAGATTCATTCATGGTGTGCATACACTGTGCATGTGGTGTTTGCACTATTTTGTTGCTGAGTCATGTTCCATTGTATAAATATACCACAATTTGTTTATCCATTCACCTGTTGATGGACATTTGGGTTGTCTCCAGTTTTTGCCTATAATAAATAAAGATGCTATGAACATTTGTTTTTAAGTTTTTTTTTTTTTTTAGGTTTCCATGCAAGATCATGGGCTTCACAAAAGCAAGCCAGGGGAGGACTTTGGGTCCCTGGAAGTCCTTGGGAATGAAAAGTGTGTCGCTGGACGCCAGGGACGGGAAATAAAAAATGAAGGGTCTACTGTTTACTTGTCTCTTATGCCCTCTGGTTCGTGACCAACCCTCCTTTGAGGGTCCCACACAATTTAGAAGACTACACGTTCGATTTCAGGTGTTGTCTTGTCAGAGTCTTCTCGCTGAAACCCACTCTAGGTAACAGGGAAGAAGGGCTGCAGAAGCAGCATTTTTTTTTTTTTCTGTGTGGGTGAAGTCACCTGCCTTCCTGGCCCCTCTCCCTGATGACGCTCGCCATGATGGCAGCCGCAGGGCACGCTCCCAGACTCCAGGTGCTTATTAGTCTGTTCTCACACTGCTATAAAGAACTGCCCGATACTGGGTAATTTATAAAGGAAGGAGGTTTAATTGACTCACAGTTCAGCATGGCTGAGGAGACCTCAGGAAGCTGACAATCACGGCAGGAGTGGAAGCAGACACGTCCTTCAAATGGCGGCAGGAGAGAAGAAGTGCTGAGTAACGGGGAAGCCCCTTATAAAACCATCAGATCTCGTGGGAACTCACTCACTATCGCGAGACATGTGACGGTATGGGGAAAACCAACCCCCGTGACTCAATTATCTCCACCTGGTCCTGCCCTTGACACGTAGGTATTATTACAATTCAAGGTGAAATTTAAGTGGGGACACAGAACCGAACATTTTCAGGGTGGTTTCCAGAGTCTTCCCAGACTCAACTTCCTGCTGCTCAGCCTGGGGGCTCTGACGATGCCACCCACCCCATGACCCCGAACTTCATCTGCACGGCCCCTGCCCTAGATTAGGCCTTGTCCTTTCTCATCCGACCCGTGCATCAGCCTTCTTGATGGTCCAGCAGGCAGGGTACGGTGATCTTTCTAAGACACAAGTCTGACCCTGCCCCTTTCTTCATTAAAATACTTCAGTGGCTCCCCATTGCCCACAGGATAAATCTAAGCTCCTCATCATGGCCTAGAAAGTCTCCTGTGCCCTGGCCCACAGTCTCCTCATCAGGGCCCTTTCATGTGATTTTCCCACGTCCACCCCTGACTCCAGCTAGTGCAGGGGGCTGTCATAGCTCTTTGCCTCAGGTCTGGGGCAAACAAAGGAGGCCGTTACTATAGGTGTCAAAAACTTATAACCAAAATTTTAAATCAATATTTAAAAAAATCAAAATGAGTGCCAAAAACCCACAACTAACGTAATATCAGAATTTCACGTAAAGACAGGCTCTGACAGTGCTGTGCAGTGTTATTTGGAGCCTGAGGCAAGGGGAAAAGGTGCATCCTAACAAATGTGTTTTTATGTATTTTTAAAGGGTTAATTTAAGTATTGCAAAACAGAAAAGTAGACGTATCAACACTCACAACGTTATTTTAAGTTTAAATATTTTATTTTTACCCAGACCAGAATTTATTATAATTTCATGTTCCTGGCTTTAGTAGAAGCAAGTGCATCAGTCATATTTTCAAAATCTAGTTTTGGGAAAGGGCAGACTTTGAGTCTAGCTTCACTATGGGTTCACATGGTGCTGATGCAATCGTGTCCTCTTTACATGGGGTACCACTTCTCCTGTCTAGGTGGTGTAGGGTGCTGGTGAAGAAGAAGATCTTAAAACTGGACCAGGCAGGGCACGGTGGCTCACACCTATAACCCCAACACTTGGGGGGTTGAGGTGGGCAGATCATTTGAGGCCAGGAGTTTGAGACCAGACTGGGCAATGTAGTAAAACACTGTCTCTACAAAAAATACAAAAATTAGCTGGGTGTGGTGGTGTGCACCTGTAGCTCCAGCTACTCAGGAGGCTGAGATGGGAGAATCATCTGAGTCTGGAAGGTGGAGGCTGCAGTGAGCCATAATCATACAACTGCACCCCAGCCTGGGTGACAGAGCAAGACCCTGTCTCAAAACATACACACAAACAACAAATGACAAACAAAACCGGGCTACCTCGGTTCTAATCCTGGTACCATTATTCAGCTGCTATGTGATTCAGGGCAAATTATTTAACTTCTCCCTCTGCATCTCAGTTTCTTCACTGGTGGAAAAGATATAACAGAAGCTCCCTATTAGGGTGGTCGTGAAGAGCAAATGAGATAGTTCTTGTAAAGAACTTAGACAAATGTGAGGTCCAGAATAAGTTCTCAAAACAATAAAAAAAATCCCTAGATACAGTCTTACTCATCCTTCAAGACCCAGCTTAAGCCTGAGGAGCTGCCTCTAACTATTCTAGGAAGTCAGCATTTCCCCTTTTCCTGGGCTCCCTCGACCCTGGAGCTTCCCCTGGCATCTCCCTGACCACATGGCATAGTCCTCCTGTGTTTATCATCTGTCTCATCCACTGATTGCGAGCAGCCCCAAGGCAGTAACCACAGGACATCTTCTGCAAAACCAGGGCTGAACTTGCTACGCCAGCCGGGGTTTCCAGACCATGCTTGGTGCTCAGCTCTGGTCTTGCTCTGCTGAGAATAGAGAAGATAAGGTTTCTGCCAGAAAGGGCACAGTCTGGGGGAAGAGTTGACTGTCATGAAGACTGGTGACCCAAAATTACAAGTGAGTTTGAACTTCAGTCCCCCGCTGGCTGGGAGAGGAGAAACTAAGGGTCAGGAAGGCTCGGAGTGTTCTAGAGGGAAGGTCCAGCCCTGCCATGGTGCAAAGGCCATTGGTGTTTTTTGACTCTGTAGAACAAGTCATGCTAAGGAGTCCTGAGCCTCTGAGAGTGAACCCTGGCATCTGCACAACACCTCAGGCCATATGTGGGGACTGATGGGATGGGGCTAGTCACCCACATTATGGGTATTCTCATATCATAAAAGAAGAGGGTGTTCACTGCTTCTATGTCAAGGTTTCCCACAACCTCATCTGAGGAAGCTACCACACAACTGGTTCTGCTTCTAGCATCTATTCTAGGACCCAGCGGCTGCCTCTCCTCTTCCTCCCCTGTATCAGTCAGATTCCAACAGAGAGACAAAACGTCAGGATTCACAGGCATACAGATGTGCATGTGTATATGTATATGTATATGTAGATACATATGTCATATGTATATGTATGTGCATATGTGTGCTTCTATGGAATTGGTTTATGCATTTTGGGGGATGGGGGCTAGGCTGGCCATCAGGAAGGGTAGCTGGAACTCTCAGGCAGAACAGAAGCTTCTGTCCACAGGTAGAATTTCTTCTTCTTCAGGGAAGCATCAGTTCTGCTCTTACGGCTTTTGCCTGATTGAATCAGTTCCTCCCAGAGTATCCAGGATACTGTACTTTACTTAAAGTCAACTGATTATAAACGTTAAGTATATCTACAAAATACCCTCATAGCAACATCTAGATTAGTGTTGATGGAATAACTGGGGGCTGTGCCCTAGCCAAATTGGCACATGAAACTGACCGTCACATTCCCCAAATTCACTTCTTGGATCTATGGAGGAAGAAGAAACCAACTTAGTCTCTTTGTGCGTATGTAAAGCAAGAAGCAAGAGGAAAAAGGGATTCCCATGGGTTGGAACCCATATCTCTGATCAAAATGGCTTACTGTTGGAGGAGGTGACTACTGACTCCCCTCAATAGCTCGAGCAGAGACCACACTCCTGCTAAACCAGTGTCAGCATCCTCAGTCTCCACAAGAACAAGTGTCTCCTTCAGGTGGTGGGAAAAGGTTAGGTGGGGCAAAAATGAGAGAAAGCATCCATTTCCTGGGCACCAAGCACTGACAGAGAACAGATTCTAAAGAAACCTCCCCCCCAGAGCTTGTCCAGTGAGTGAGATATCCTTCTAACACTCACATGTGGGAGCTATCATGTCACCTTCATCCACTTTCTTCTCTCCACTCAACCATCCACCCACCTACCCAACCATCCACCCACGCACCCATCCATCCACTCACATATCCAAATATCCACTCTTCACCCACCTATCCACCCTTGCATTATCCATACTTCCACACATCCACCTGTCCATACACCCACATACCCATGTGTCTGCCCTTTACCCATCTATCTTCCACCTCTGTATATCCATGCACCCACCTACTGATGCATCTACACACCTGCCACTCATCTATCTATTCATCTACTCACCTACCTATTTATCCATCTGCCCTCCTATCTGTCCATCTACCCATCTATTCATTCATACAACAGATGTTTACTAAATGCCTATCGTGATGCAGCCACCATACTTGGTGCTGAAAGTGCAATGACAAGAAAAACAGAAACAGTTCCTTCCCTGAGGGAGCTTACTATCTAGGAGGTAGACATTAACACAGGCAAATACCAAATTGCAATGGAGAAAATTGCTGTAAAGGAGAGGTACACAGTGCCATGAAAACCTGTAATGGGAGATGGAACCTAGTCAGGGAGGCAAGGAAGACTTCTCAGCTGAGATCTAGAAGAAGAGGAGTGGACTTGGTGAGAGCAAAGAGAGAGAGCGAGAGAAACAATAAGTTCACAGAATGAGAGGCAGCTGGTGTGGCTGGAATGCTTTCCAGGGGAGTGCAGCCCAGGGGGAGATGGGAGGTATGGTAATGGCCATCTGTCCAGGGCTGTGTTGGGAAACTTTACTATTTTTCCTCAAAACAATCAAATCATTTTAGGGAGGAAGTAAATGATCAAATCTGAGTTTTGAAAAGATTGATTAGGGAGGAGGAGAACGGCGAGGTGGGAAGACAATATAGGAGGCTGGTATAGTTAGCTGTCCTGTAGAGTGTTTTGTTACAAATTTGGTATTGAATTTTTGGGACAAATATTTTTTCTTATGCAAATATCAACCACAAATATTGTACTGAGAGATACTTGATGTTCTGTGAAGTTTGAGTACTAAAAACAGAGGTGTTGAATGAGGGCATTTTCCCTGGGGAGAAGTTCTGCAGGGCATGCTATGTCTGGTTTTTCATTTGCTCTTTGAGGCAGGGATTCATTCTCCCATCTCATCCCAGGGCTGGTATAGACACCTGATGACTGTGGCTAACCAAGAAATGAATGAAAGATTTAGAAGTCTGTATGGGTTCCGGGTCTGTTTGCTCTCAGATCTATCCCCTAGCTTTCTGTGCCCTGCTCTGTATGGAAGGGGGCTGACTTCTGCAGGCAGCATTCCCAGCCTTTTGTCAATAGCAGCCAGTGGGAGGCTCTGATGGAAGAGGGAGGTAGTGGGAAGAAGGGAGAAACCAGGATATTTCTCCCTCTTTGTCTGCTTTGGGTGGAGTCTCCAGTAGCTGCTATACCTCCTTTATAGTTGCAGCTTCTTCAGGGTGACCCTGGGCCCCTCCTGGGCTTCTTTCTCTGTCCTGTGGCCTGGAGATGGTAGTGGCTTCCTGCTGTTGCTAACATCTGGTTGCCTCACTGTCCTCCTGGGCTTCTGAGCTTTTTCATCAATCATGTAACCAATTCCTTGCATTCAAGTCCCTTTGCCTTGAACAATCTGGTGGTTTCTCTTTCCTGGTTGGATTCTGATTAATGCAAGACTGAGTTGTGAATGTGGCTTCCCTGTCCCGGGACCTTTCCTCAGTTTCTGGGAAATTCCCCACCTACATACCAGCTGCCTTGAGAAACTCCTTTAAACACAAATGATGGGGGATGCCATTCGCAGTTAAAAGAAGATACTGCTCCGTTTCTAAGGAAGAAAAGTATAAATGAACAAGTTAAGGAGAGGGAGTAAGACGAGGGAGTAAGTTTTGGGGGAAGAAGTAATGATTACAATAATAACAACTTTCAATTATTAGACCTCTGATATGTGCAGATGCCTTGCATACATTCTCATTAATCCTACAAAGAGTCATATTGTTCTCATTTTGCAGTTGAGCAAATTGAGGCTAGTAAATGGCAGAGCTAAGGCTTGAACCTCTGATCTCACTCCCTCCAGAACCTACGACCATTCTGTGGTGCGCACCAAGAGAGAAAACCTTCCCAGAGAAATATTAATATTTTTATTAGTTATACATGCACTTATATATATATGCATATGCTTAATATACTGAACATATCTATTAATAAGCCACAAAGAATATTATTAAACCAGGTCTTGCTACTCAGTATGGAAATGTCAAATCTTCAATATCCAAATCACTTTGATGATGTCTATGATGCCAAATACCCAGACAAGGGTTGAAACATCAGCCAACATCATCAGCAGCCAGTGTGACATCCCTGGACACACAGATGTCACACTACTCTTACTTTAACAATGACATAAAACTGCATTTCCAGGAGGACCTGCAGCAGTGAAATCCCAGGCTTGATTGTCCAGGAGACTATATCTTCCTCACAGCTCACAGAGCAAACAATGTAAGAACCAAATCAATTACAAGAAGAAAGAGGAGGCATCAAAGGAGGAATAGGGTTCTTGCCATGTGCATGGTACAAAAACCAGGTGGCAGAAGCCAAGGAAGTGAGGCTTATTTAATCCTTCCTTCAGGGAACTCAGCATGGAAGGCTTTTTGACAAATGTACAGGGCAGAAGAAAGAATGCTTATCAAGAATGAGTTAGGGCCAAACAGAGGCCCTAAGGAAGTTGCCATCGTCCTTTTAAAAAACTGTTCTTTTTTTTTTTAGGCGGAGTCTCGCTCTGTAGCCCAGGCTGGAGTGCAGGGGCGCAATCTCTGCTCACTGCAAGCCCCACCTCCTGGGTTCACGCCATTCTCCTGCCTCAGCTTCCCGAGTAGGTGGGACTACATGCACCTGCCACCACGCCTGGCTAATTTTTTGTATTTTTAGTAGATATGGGGTTTCACCATGTTAGCCAGGATGGTCTCGATTTCCTGACCTCGTGATCCGCCCACCTCGGCCTCCCAAAGTGCTGCGATTACAGGTGGGAGCCACCACGCCTGGCCAAAAAACTGTTTTTATATATTAGTTTTCAGAGTTTTATTTCTCCAGGATCCTCCTAGGGTTGTAACGATGACGTGCACTTTGTATATGAAGGTAGTTATTTCTTCAGCAGTGGTGAGTGGCTTACTCAATCCTTACTGTTTCTTTTCTGATAATTCTTGCCTTCAATAAACCTTCAGTGGGTTTATAGGTTAATCCAGGGCTAAGGAACAGCGAAGAAGCCCTTGGGTACTCACACGGGGTCAGACTTGCCCCTGGGCCCAGTGGCCCCACATCATTGCAGCCTGCAAGCCTTTGCCAAGCTGTTTCACCTGCAAGGGAGGCTCCCCGGCTGCTCTCCAAGGCTGTGCTCATCACTTCCTCTCATTCCTGACTCTGAATTCAACTGTCTTAGGAAGGCTTTGGGGGCAACCCTGTGCAGTCTTCCTTCAACTCCCTAAGGACCGAGATACAGGGTTTATATTTGGCCATCATCGATTTGCTTCCATCTTTGCTTTGTCTCCAAATTGTCCTACATACTACTTCCAGATTTTTTTTTTTTTTCTAAAACATAGCTCAGACCCTATCACTAGCAAATGCAAAGGCTCCAGTGGCCGCAAGGATCATGGGTTGATTATTCTTCCCTCCTTGAGACACTTTTCCCTCTTTGTATTCAGGATACACACTCATCTATATATCCTCTTATCTCACCAACGGATCCATCTTAATCTTCTTTGTTGGCTCCTCTTCATCTCCCAGACTTTGAAATGTTGGGGTGCCCCAGGGCTCAGTCCCTGTCCCTCCTCTTTATTTCCCTGCCTATGCTCACACTCTTGATGATCTCATCCTTCCTGGTGTCCTAAAACAACATGTACTTGTTGAGGACTTCCAGATTTCTGCTTCTAACTCAGACATCTTCCCTAATCCTAGGCTTATATATCCAGTTTTCTTGGGGAAAAAAGTTGAATGAATCCAGTCTCTCCTTCTTTTCTTCTTTCATTTTCTTCCTTTCTCTCTCTCTTTCTTTTTCTCTTTCTTTCTTTTCTTTCTTTCTTTCTTTCTTTCTTTCTTTCTTTCTTTCTTTCTCTTTCTTTCTTTCTTTCCTTCTTTCTTTTCTTTTCTTCCTTTCCTTTCCCTTTGTTTCTCTCTCTCTCTTTCTTTCTTTCTTTCTTTCTTTCTTTCTTTCTTTCTTTCTTTCTTTCTTCTTTCCTTTCTTCTTTTTTGACAGGGTATCATTCTGTTGCTCAGGCTGGAGTGCAGTGGTGCAATCTCAGTTCCCTGCAGCCTCAAACTCCCAGCCTCAAGCAATTTTCCCACCTCAGCTTCCAAAGTAGCTGCAACTATAGGAGTGCACCACTACATCAGGCTAATTTTCTTGATTTTTTTTTTTTTTTGTAGAGATCAGGTCATGTTGCCCAGGCTGGTATAGAACTCCTGGGTTCAAGCAGTCCTCCTGCCTTGGCCTCCCAAAGTGCTGGGATTACAGGAGTGAGCTACCAGGCCCAGCCTTTCATGATTTTCTTACAGTGTATCCTTGACATTCCTCCCCTGTGGGATCTATGTTCTTTCCCCTTGAAGATGGGAAGACCTCCGTGACTGTTGTGACGGATAGAGTATGGCTGAAGTGATGCTATGTCATTTCCAAGGCTCGATCATCAATATGCCATGCAGTTCTGTCCCGCTGTCTTGAGATGCTCACTCTTGGAAGCTAGCCACCATGCTATGAGGAAGCCCAAATGAGGCCACGTGAAGACACCATATGGAGAGGCCACTTGTGAGTATTCTGGCCAGCAGCCCAGCCGAGTTCCAGTTGATAGCCAGCTTCAGCCACTGGACATGGGAATAAAGACACCTCCAGATGATCCTAGCCTCTAGCCATTGAGTTACCCTCAACTGACACATCTTCCCAGCTGAAGCCCCAGACATTGAGAGAAGCGTCAGATTGTCCCTGCTGTGCCCTGTCTGAATTTTTGACTCGTAGAGTCCATGAGCAGAATAAAATGATTGACACAAAGTTTCAGGGGTTGTTATGCAGCAGTAGTAACTGTCGTACTAGGCCTTCCTTCGGCCTGTGTCTACCCTCCAGTTTCAGACTCAGGGAGGCCTGCCCCCTCCTCTACAGCTCCTTTTCTTGAGTTTACTTTAGACACAATCTTCTTCCTAACTGTGTATTCTTTTTTTTTTTTTTTTTTTTTTTTTTGAGACAAGGTCTCACTCTGTTGCCCAGGCTGGAGTGCAGTGGTGCGATCTCAGCTCACTGCAGCCTCTACCTCCTAGGTTCAAGTGATTCTCTGCCTCAGCCTCCCGAGTAGCTGGGATTACAGGCCTGTGCCACCATGCCCAGCTAATTTTTGTATTTTTAGTAGAAACGGGGTTTCACCATGTTGGCCAGGCAGGTCTCGAACTCCTGACCTCAAGTGATTCACCTGCCTCAGCCTCCTGAAGTGCTGGAATTACAGGCGTAAGCCACAGCGCCCCACCCCTAACTGTGTATTCTTATACTGACCCACTCCTCTCACCCCAACTACCTTACTTCAGCCTATCAGAGGAGCCAGACCAGACACCATGCACCCATTCTCAAGCCACCCTGAGGTTAGACTCAAACACTAGGGACTGTTTCATGTCCATGTGCCTTTGCAGGTGTAGCTTTTCTTGTCTGGCCACATTTTATTTTTTCCTCACCTCTTAACTTCTCAACCTGGAGAACTCCTACTCACCCTTCAATGCCCAACCTAAATGTTTCTTCCCTGTAAAAAAGACTCCAGAAGGCTCCGGATTCAGATGCTTATGGAGTGAAGTCAGAGCTGGATGTAGGTGTGGGAGACCCTGTGTCCATCCATGGGGGCTGTTGCTACCTGGCCCCAGATAATTCTCGCCTCCCTGGACCGTGGACTCAATGTGGATAGATCTTCTGATTTTTCAAGACAAGGCTGAGTTTTTATATAAAGTCTCCTGATTTTAAAACCTTTAAGTAGGCCGGTCAAGCCAGGTTGCTTCTGGCCTGGGGCCACCAGCTTGCCATCCCTGCCTTAAATCCCTGTTAGGCACCTCTCACCTGGACACATCCCACACAGTGTTTCTAGAGAGCTTTCCAGACTCTATAGAAAGGATTTTATAAACTGGGCACATAGCTGTGAACTCCCCAAGGGCAAGGTTGGCCCCTGTGTTCACCACCTTTGTAACCCCAGGGCTTAGCATAGGACTGGATGCATGACAGGCTGAAGAGGCTGTTTGTTCAGTCAGTACCAAGGTCTCCGCAGCCCTGGTCTCTGACATGAGGGTTTAGATGCTGCCCTCCACATTTTCCCCACAGTGTCAGCCCGAACTGGCTCTGAGCCCTGCCTCCTTCCTCACGAGGTTGCCCCTCTCATCTTCTCCAGGCTACGTGCCTCCGAATCAGCTCTCCACACTCTGAAAGCTTCCCCTTTCCCATCTCCCCACTACACTCCTGTTTGGAGCCTGAGCTAGTCAAAAGCCCTTCTGATTCAAGTGTGTAAATCTACTCAGAGATGCGTGCCTCTCCAAGCCTGTTGTTTTAGCTGAAGCAGGATGCTTACAGCTGATTATTGCATTACTGCGGAGCTGATGTGCAGTGCAGATCCACAAGTTAGATTGCACAATACTGAGAAAATTAGTGCTTCAGAAGAAGTTGTCTGCAGCGTAATGGATGCTCCGTCATCAACAGTGTTCCAATATTCTCTCCGGAGAAGCTAACGACGCTGACAAAATACATTGAACTGCTGTTCTCTTCCACACATTCAAATAAAAGGCAGTGTATCTTGATGCAGGGCACATCAGTGGGTGATGGCAAAACATTATTTTTTCTTTATGAATAATAGAAGACATTTGGCTTGCTCATAATCTTTTAAAAACCGTAGTCATAGTAACATGTGTCTTGCCCATTAATATGAGATTTTTTTTCTTCTTAAAGACAACAGCCTGTTTTACAGTGTGTTCTTAGTCCCCCAACAGAGCAGTATCCATTCGATTTGCAACTTGACCGAAGCCAGTTATAAAAAGGAAAGATTGTCTCTGCCACCAGCGAGATTCTTAGCTATTACCCCTGTGGGGTGACAGAAGAGCTAGATTCATTTTGGTCAAAAATTGTAGTTTAGAACAAAAGAGCAAAGTCTCTGATGAAAAGAATGATCAGTGATTGTGCCCAAGTTGGGGGAATGGTCTGCCTACATGTGCTCTTTTCCAAAGGAAAGAACTCAAGTTTCAGGAGAAGTGACCAAAATAGAAAAATAATTCCAAGTGTGCCCAAACCCAAGGGGTCCTTGCCTCTAGCATCAAGGTGGCCCCGACCGGTGCTTGTGGTGGTTACATAAAGGGGTATTACATAAACATGGGGCACGTGTTCTGTTTTTGTAATTGATGCACTTCAATAGGGGAATGGGAATTTCGTAAAAGCAAGCAGGAAAATGTGGATGTTCCATATTAGAAGGTTGAAGAAAGTGAAGTTGATTAGATTGGAGAGGGCAGCAGATGGCTCTCAGGAGACACGATGACCAGTTTTAAATATCTGAGAGTCTATTGGGGGTGAAGGGATTTGACTTGTTTTGTGTGTCCCTGAGGGAAAGAACTGATGGCTATGAATGAGAGGACACCATTAGGGAGGCATATTTCGGGTGAGTGTAAGGAAGAGCTTTCTCCTCATTGTTGCTGTCCAGATAAAGGATAGAAGGCATGAGTACTTATGGTGCCTTGGGTCAGGTTCCCTGGCACATAGCTCTGAGATGAATCTCCAAATGCACAAAGTTTATCAGGAAGTGCCTCCATGATCAATATCTGGTAAAGGAAGCATGACTAGGCAGAGGAAGGAGTTGAGCTATGACAAAACTGCAAAAGAGCTTCAGCTACTCCCCTGGGGAGCCCTGGAGTGGAGGCGGCCCTTTGGCATGGTCCTGAATTGAGGCTGGAGAGTCAGCCCTTTGGAACCTTTCACTGACCAATCATCGGATGCAGCTGTCCCCCAGGGAAGTAGGAGGAGGGATTGTGGATGAGGCTGCTCTTCAGTAGAGGGCAATTCCAGGAGAGCAACTCAGCTGGGAGTCATCAGCCACCAACATTTCCAGGAGCTGGAGGGATGAGTGCCTTTGTCCTAAAGGAGGATCTGGGCAGCATCCCACAGCATCCATTAGAGATGGCTGCTTAATGGAGATGCTGTGACACCCTGCCCCTTGTGTGACTTCTCATGATCCAGTGTTCACATTCTCTAACGAAATACCATAAAGTCCAGATAAGACTCAGTTTATTGACTGTTTCCCCATGGGGCCTCCAGTGTGGATCCTGGATGGAGTCAGAGGCACATCTCCCTTAGTTTCTAGCTTAAAGCTCTTGGCTCCTGGGCAGCATCCGACCAATACTCCTTGGTTCCAGGAAGAAGAGTTCATTCATTCAAATTTCATTCAGTAATATTAATTGAGTGCCTTCTTTTAGGAGTTAGAAATACAACTATGAAGAAGATAAAGTCCTATGCCTGCTGGGACTTATATTCTCGTGGGAGAGCTAGAAAACAATACACAAATAAAATAATCCTGGTAAGGAGAGGTGGAGTGATCATGTGTGTATGTGATGTTTGTATTGGGAATTCAGGGAAGGCCTCCTTGGGGAGTGACACTGCAGCAGATTTGAATGATATGAAGTAGTGATGTCTGAAGATCTGGGGAATAGGGTTCCAGGCAAGAGGAACAGCAAGTGTGAAAGTCTTGAGGTAAGGACAGCCTTGGTGTTTTCATGCTTCTTTTAACTAAGTAGAGTATGGGAAGATGAACCTCAGTTTTTAGGGAGAACCTGCCTTAGTAAAGAGGCAGCTGCATTAGGGGATGTAAAAGGCATTTTCGATGTTAGTAGCCAAAAACCACGCATGGTTCTCAGGAGAGAAGACCCCAGTTCTGTTGCAGAGTGCTTCCTTGGCAGTGGAAACCCAGCTGACATGATTTGTTTCCTCATTTGAAAAATCAAGATGATTTTAGTACCCACTCTGTAGGGCTGTTGTGAGGATCAAAGACTGTGATGTGTGGAGGTACTTAACTTAGAGCCTGGCTCATAATAAGTGCTTGATACATGTTAGCTTTTATTTGTGCTGTATAACTCAAGAGAGCTAAAGAGCTGGGGCTTGAATCTAGGGTTTAAATTCTATCAAAGTCCTTGTTCTATGCAATGTTGCTGTTTCTTTCTCTCTTAGTTTGAGTCTCTGTATGTCTGCTTGTGTGTCTTTCTTTGTGTCTATCTCTATGACTCCTGTACTCCATCTCTGCTTATCTGTCTGTCTCTGTTCTTCACTCCTCTCTCTCTCTCTCCCTCTCTGGCTTTCACTCTGTCTGTTCTTCCTTTCTCTGTTCTCTCTCTCTGCTTCCTTTCTTCCTACCAGACTGAGAGCCCCACTGTCTTCTATAGGCCCAAGAGCAGGCAACTCTCCACGGTGCTGACGAGGTGTGTAGGTCCCAGACTTCCATCTCTCATTAGGGAACAGAAATGGATGGCAGTGATTTTCCTCCAGCAGCCAGTCAGCAGGGACTCTCCATCTGCTAGTGCAGGTAGAGCAACTTCCCTTAATGGGACCAGCTTCCCTAGAGCATGTAGAACCTTCTTGGTCATGAGAGCAGCTGTCTTTCTGCCCCCTTCCCACAAACACACTTAATCTTGCCTTGTACATGCCCATATGGCCTCCACGGGGGCTGGAGAAGCAGGCTCTTGCTGGTCTCTGGACTGTAGCAAAGCAGATTGGAAGGGGTTTATTTCTCCTGCTCTAGTGGCATATAGCAGCTCCCCAGTGAGGGAGCTGGGGGATGGCCCCTCTGGAGACACAGGCACTTTCTCCATGGAAACCCTTGTCAAGGAGAATGGTAGCAAAATGCGGTGCCACTTTATCCCTCAAAGAAGCTTTCTTTAATATCACTTAAAGTGAATTAAATGATGAGGGCCTTGAGATTTCATCTCTCCTGATCCCTTTCAGCAGGTGAAGGACGGCAGCAGGGAGGGCTCAGGGCTTGGGGAAATGGGGAAGGTGCTCTGAGGAGGTGAAATGTCACAGAACTTAAAGCAGCCAGGCACACGTTTCAGACCTGACCCCATCACTAACTCTGTGTCATCTTGGGCAAAGGATTGATCAGTTTCCTCACCCAAAGCCGGGGGCAAACATATCTGCTCCAGCTTCCTCATAGAGTTGTTCTGAGGATCAAACAGCAAATGGGATGACAGAATCTGGAAACTAGGTGTAGTGCACATTCCAACAGCTCATGTTTTTTGAGTGCTTTTTAAGGCCAGGCTCTGTGCGAGGTATTCTGTGTGCATCATCTCATGGAATCCTTAATCCTCATAAGGTAGATAACACTATTATTGTCTCACTTAAGGGACAGGAAAATTTAGGCCTCAGAGGAGTGATGTGTCTTTATCTACTCTGTGTGTGTGCATGTGTGTGTGCGTGTGTGTGTGTGTGTGTGTGTGTGAGAGAGAGAGAGAGAGAGAGAGAGAGAGTGCTTGGAAATTAACTCTGGTCTCTTTGACTCCGAAGTTCTTCTCTCTTCCTTTGTGCTCCACCCCCATCTCTGTCTTGCAGGACAAGCTGTGGCTGATGTCCCTGCAGCCCAGTGGTCCTGACGGACTGATGGAGACACAGGCAGATTGGTCCTGACGGACTGACGGAGACACAGGCAGATGGCAGGGCTCGAGTTGTCAGACACATCCTGAGTTGTCCAAGAGGCTCACCTTGAACACACCTGCAGACACTTGGGGAAACAGGATATTTTTGAGATTTTTATCTTAGAGAAGGGACTTTCTGCTTTCTGCTCTTTAAGATTAATGACCTCCAGAATCTGTGACTTTTGGGCAGCAGAGGTTCAGGAGACCAAGTGTCTGCTGCTTTATTCATCCAGTGAGAGCAGAACTGGGCTTCTCAGGGTCCAAGAGGCCCATCTCATTGGCAACAAGAGCCCAGCCTGAGGATTTTACAAATAGTTGGAGCTCTCTCTCTCTGCCTTCTTGTATCTGCAGCCTCAACTTTTAGCTCCAAGCCACGTTCATCAATTGATGGCCCTTGTTTCTGTTTTGACGAAACGAAATTTGCTTTTAAAATCCTGGGTTCAGAACTCTAAGCACAGCCCTTCTGGGAGGCATAAATAAGTTGGATTTAAGAGAGACTAATCAGGGAACAATTCTGAAGTGAACCGAGTTTCTACAACTAGACTCTCCAGCTTCATTAAGAGTGAATTTGGTCACCTTTTGTATTTTTGAATAAAAATAGGCTAAGCCCCTCACTTGCCATATTTTAAAAAATCTCAGGAAATTTCTTGGGGCTTTTAGATTATTTTAAAAAACCCCTTAGTGTGCACTCAGTCCTAAGTGGTCAGTCCGGTTTCCATATGCTCATGCTGGTAAAACTGGGAAATATGTCTAGTCCACCAGTAGGCAGGCTGGCTTCAGCTGCCATCAATGCTGCTGCCGCCACATGGGATGGTTGTTGAAAACTGATCCAGCACAACGTGGTCCCCTCTTATCCCTGGCTGTGAGGATGTGCTTGCTGGCTCACATCCTTGCACTGACCATGTTGCTATTTTTTAAAATTTATTATTTATTTATTTTTTGAGATGGAGTCTCGCTCTGTTGTCCAGGCTGGAGTGCAGTGGTGCGATCTTGGCTCACTGCAACCTCTTCCTCCCAGATTCAAGTGATTCTCCTGCCTCAGACTCCTGAATAGCTGGGATCACAGGCGCCCACGACCATGCCTGGCTAATTTTTGTATTTTTAGTAGAGACGGGGTTTCACCGTGTTGGCCAGGCTGGTCTTGAACTCCTGACCTCAGGTGATCCACCTGCCTCGGCCTCCCAAAGTGCTGGGATTACAAGCATGAGCCACTGCTCCAGACCCAAGCTGCCACTGGAGGACAGGGATTCTATTTCCTCAGTGTTACACTTGGCACAGGGTGCTGCACACTGGGATTCCTAAACCAATAGCTTCCTTGTTCATGAGTATATTCCCAGCCACGCCCTGTCATGTGATGGAGCAGCCACGGGGGTTCTGCCGGCCTCAGCATGCATGGCCTCAAGACCAACTCTCTTTGAGATTAGCTTGGGTCCCTTCTCCAGATTTCCCCTCCCTTTAGGGTGAGTCTCAGCCTCCCAGAGGGATCTTTTCCTGCTGATAGTTCTCAATCGGGATCCTCACAGTGCCCCAGCAATTCCAATAGGTTTGAACTTAACAATGGCAGAGGGCAACATTGGCATATTTGCTGAGAAGCTGCCAGAGGACTCAATCTCCTCCTTCTGGTACCACTTCTGCGTTCCAAGGAGTATCAGCAGGAGCAGCCAATAGGTTGGCTAGGAAAATGTCCAGTTGCAGCCCTCCCTTGCGAGGCACTAGGGGGCTATTTGTCATTTTACGTAAGGACCAGATGAGGTTTTCTAGAACAATTCATCTATGGAATAAACTAGCTGCAACATTTAAATGGCAGCTTATAAATTCCCTATAAAGGTTTAAATTCTGCCTAACCAGGTATCTCTTTGTATTTATAAGACCCAAAGAAGAGGCTTTGGAACTTCATCTTCTTGCTCTGACAAGTTCAGAACTGGGGACCCAAGTCTTTGTTTCTTTATTTTTTCTTTTTTCTTTTCTTTTTTTTTTTTTTTGAGATGGAGTTTGCTCTTGTTGCCCAGGCTTGAGTGCAATGGTGTGATCTTGGCTCACGGCAACCTCCGCCTCCCAGGTTCAAGTGATTCTCCTGCCTCAGCCTTTTAGTAGAGACAGGGTTTCATCATGTTGGTCAGGCTGGTCTCAAACTCCTGATCTCAGGTGATCTGCCCACCTCGGCCTCCCAAAGTGCTGGGATTACAGGTGTAAGCCACCACGCCTGGCCTCAAGTCTTTGTTTCTAAGTCTTTCTTCAAGCTTTGGGCTTGGTTTCTCCTCAAGTTCTGGTGAATAGCTCAGTCCTCACACCTCCTTCCTGGAAGGAATGCCTTGCTTAGATTTTGCCTGTTTCCCATGTGATTGGCCCTGGCCTTGATGGGGAACTGGAGATTCTCTCCCCGCTTTTTAACATTCTAAAATAACATTTTTTTTTAAAAATAATTCTGGATTTGCATAAAGTCACAAAGATAGAGAGTTTCTGTATTTTCTTCATCCAGCTTCCTCTGATGTTAACATGTTACATAACCATGGTACTTATGTCAAAACTAAGAAATTAACTTTGGTACAACACTACTAACTAAACTAGAGACTTTCTTCAGATTTCACCAGTCTTTCTACTCATGCCCCCTTTCTGTTTGAGAGTCTATTGTAGGTACCACATTATATGCAGCCAGCACTGGAATCCACCTGGCCTAGGGACAGCTGCATGACCCAGTGAAGTCCACACCTAGTCTCACATCATGTCTTGGAAGCAGGAAAGGTGAAGGGCTATGTCAACTTAGCTCAGCTAGAGCTACAGTTCTCAGAACTCCCTTTCTGTCATGCTTCCAGTTTCAGGGTGGCCCCAAGAGAAATTTGCACAGGATTCGGGAAACAGAAACGAAGCACCAGCTGTTACTCTCGGAAAGTCAGTGAAAGGCACCAGGCAGTGTCACAGTTTACACACAATGTCTCTCAACTGCTAGCTCACCTTTCTGGTGGGGAGCTGGTATGGGAAACACCTGAGCTGTAGCTCCTCCAGTTCCTTCTGGGTCTCCTCCTTCAATTTTTCCAGGTCTTGGGCCAGGTATGTGGTCATCTCTGCAATAAAGGATGCCAGCTTCTCCTTCAAGTCACCTGTGTCAACAAGATTGGAGGCAGTGAGGAACAGACATAGGTTCTGATTGTCCTTATGGGATCCAGTCACTAATGTTCTGGTAACTGTTTAGCAACCAGCTCACCAGGTATAGTTTCAACATGAATGTCAGTTGATATTTTTGTTTAAGCAAATAAACATTCTATGTAGGAAGCCTCTGCTTTCATCACTGTGCTCCAGAGTTCAGTGTAAGACTTGGCATAGAATAGGCAATGTGTGAATGAATGAATGAGTGAGCAAGTGCTCACAAAGGACAGGCCTTCCACTCTGACTGGTTGCTACTAGGATTCGTGGCTATGTTCCATACATGCTGAGATACTCTAGTGGTTCCTGCAAGTTTACTCACCTGACACCTTCTCAACCCTGCTGCTGGGACAGCCCCTCAGTGCCCTTCTTAGATGAATCCTGACTCTATCACTCTGGCTGTCACACCAGGCTGGGAATAGTGGTCCAAGCCCTGGTTCTGCATGCTGCCATTCCGCGTCCGCAGGAAGCATGTGCACATTTATGTTGATGTGTGTAATTTAGGAGCAGCTTGGAAGACGGCTGTGTGCTTGCATTATTGAGAAATGGAAACAAACTTCTGGAGCCTACTACAGGGGTGGCCAGCATCCTTTCTGGACTCAAGAAATCCCTTTATTTCTGTATCAGTCAGGGTTTGAACATAGAAGCAGAAACATATTGAGTTTCACAGAATAAGGGATGTTTTATAGGAACTACAAGTGATATAATTGTAGGAGCAGGTTCATACCTCTGTGTAAGGTTGCTGCTTCTGTGTCTGATGTTGTGCCTGATGTCGCTATAGTTCAGCAAAACTGGCTGCTAGAAAGGAAGGCTGGATGTGAACTTGGGGAGAGCAAACACAAGCTGGAAACCATGAAGACACTTCAACCAGAGCTGGCTTGTACCAACTTGCAAGAGCTGATTATTAAATTTTTAGGAATTTTGTGATCAAGCTGTTAAGCACAGCCATTATTAAAAAATTAAAAAGCTGGGTGTGGTGGCTTCCAGTACTCTGGGAGGCTGAGGTGGGTGGATCACTTGAGGTCAGGAGTTTGAGACTAGCCTGGCCAACATGGTGGAACCCTATCTCTACTAAAAATGCAAAAATTAGCCAGGCGTGGTGGCAGCCATCTGTCATCCCTGGTACTTGGGAGGCTGAGGCATGAGAATCACTTGAACCTGTGGTTCAAGGTGGAGGTTGCAGTTAGCCAAGATTGTGCCACTGCACTCCAGCCTGGGCAACAGAGCGAGACTCTGTCTTAAAAAAAAATTAAACTATATAAAGATCCAATTAAATAAATTACATTAAAACAAATGTAATAGTCAAGACTCATTCCTTCCTAATCATTTTGCAATGTCTTGTTATTACCTATGCCCTTGAGGTTATTCATGTCTATTACATCTGTATGTTGGAAATGCCATACAATGTTCAATGATATCATGTTGACAGCTTTAACGTAGCCCCAGAGAGAGTTATTTACACCACAGAGACTGGCAAACACTATAGATCAGAGCTTGATTTATGATTTTGCTGATTATCTAGACTTAAGAAGGCGATGAAGAAAATGTTAATAAAGCAAATTAAACTTAAAAATTTGACCCATTTGTAGCAGTTACATTGTGAATATAGGAAATAGTCTTTTGGCATTCAGAACTATTTTTCAATTTAGCAAAGAAGTAGCTTACAACATTGATGAACAAGTGAAGTGCTAACATACATCTTCATTGTTTCACTTTTGTCTTGCTTATTCACATAACAAAAATACCAACTGACATTCTTGTTGAAACTATACCTCGTGAGCTGGTTGCTAAACAGTTACCAGAACATTATTGACAGGATCCCATAAGGACAATCAGAACCTATGTCTGTTCCTCACTGCCTCCAATCATGTTGACACAGGTGACTTGAAGGAGAAGCTGGCATCCTTTATTGCAGAGCTGACCATATACCTGGCCCAAGACCTGGAAAAATTGAAGGAGGAGACCCAGAAGGAACTGGAGGAGCTACAGCTCAGGTGTTTCCCATACCAGCTCCCCACCAGAAAGGTGAGCTAGCAGTTGAGAGACATTGTGTGTAAACTGTGACATTGCCTGGTGCTTTTCACTGACCTTCTGAGAGTAATGGCTGGTGCTTCATTTCTGCTTCCCAAATCCTGTGCAAATTTCTCTTAGGGCCACCCTGAAACCGGAAGCATGACAGAAAGGGAGTTCTGAGAACTGTAGCTCTAGCTGAACTAGGTTGACATAGCCCTTCACCTTTCCTGCCTCCAGGACATGATGTGAGGCTGGGTGTGGACTTCACTGGGTCATGGGTGTGGACTTCACTGGGTCATGCAGCTGAAAGGGAGTTCTGAGAACCATAGCTCTAGCTGAGCTAAGTTGACATAGCACTTCACCTTTCCTGCCTCCAAGACGTGATGTGAGACTGGATGTGGACTTCACTGGGTCATGCAGCTGTCTCTAGGCCTGGTGGGTTCCAGTGCTAGCTGCTGTCTCTCTGTAGGTGGGTGTTCAGATGGGTGTATGCATACATCAGTCAGCCAGGGCTTAGGGATGGGCCTCCTGTGCCAACACTTTGCCTTTGCCATCAATCCAGAACCTGGAGATGGGCTTTCTGGCACTGGGCTTCTGCATGAAGAAGTGGGATGATATCTCATACTAAGGGGTACCTAAATTAGTCTTTTTTGGGACACCCCATAGGCATGACAAAGTGTCTGAGCTGAAGCAGTGAAGGGGAAGGAAAATCCAGGAATAACTTCCTTCATGGAGAGATCCAGAATCAGCAAGTGCAGTCTTCCTTGATGGGCCAGCTGAGTACCACTGGTAAGGGCAGAAGTGGGTGTGCGGTTCATGGAGGTACAGTCACCCATCCCCCCCATCAATTGGATATGAGCACCAATTGGCTGTGAGCACCTTGGCCTCCCCTCAACAGCTGGATGTGAGCAGGCTCTCTGACTCCTCCCGATGGGCTGGCTCTCGGCTTGTTTGCCAGCACCTGCCAAGGTTTCTGTGGGTCCTGCCAGCTTTGCCAAACTGGAGGTTGTCAGATTCAGGGCAGTCAAGGACAAGGTCTTCATTTGTTTGGCTGTGAGCTCAGTCAGATGGACCAATATCTGCTCCAGTGTCTGAGCTGGGGGCTGAGCTGAGTGGCTTCAGTTAAGCATGACCTTGCCCAGCTGGTCTCCTTACCGGCGTCTGAGCCAGGCAGGCAAGGGTGGGTGAGATAGTTCCTGAGGAAGGGGCCCTGGAAAGGGCTGAAAAGGAGGCAGGAAGGGTCAGCCAACCAACATGACCATATCTCAGGTGTGTCTCACTCTCTTCCTCATTGATGTAACTAGAAACGCCTCCCATTGCTGGGTCATTCCTCCTCGTGTCACACATCAAGCGATGACAAGGGTTACGCATGCCCATGCCACTTGCCGCATGGCAGGTACTTCTTCACCAGCATGGCTGCATAAATTGGTCAAAGCAGGGCTGCTGGAGACGTGGGCAGAGCTGCTTCTCTCAGACCACACACTCTGGCACCTGCCACCTGCTTCATGACCTGTGTCTCTGGATGACTTGGCTTTCAATCATCTGCTGCAGTCCTCCTGTGATGACCCTTTGCTCTCAGGTTCCAATAACAATTTTTTGTCCCTGCTGGGCTCTGGGCTTGTTGTCTAGGGCTTTCTCAGTGCACAAACCTTCAGTGGAGCACTCTGGGCCAGGCTACCGGCACTCCCTGTCTTGCTTGGCTTTGGCACTGGAGGACGGCCATTAGAATACAAAGACCTTTCCTACAAACCCTGGTGCTTCTGTCTGACCAAGTTGACCTTCTCACTAGGGCCAGCAGGGGCTAATTCCTCACACAATGGTGGAGGCAAGTAGGGGGTGAATACCCTTTAAGAAGGCAAAGAACATTTTTTTTTTAAATGTACAGCTGCTTTGGGCTGCAATACTGCCTGCAATTTCCTTCCTTCACTCCTTCTCTCCTCCTGTCATCATCTCTCCTTTTCTCTGTGAATGAGTCATGGTGAGATTGGCATGCTATGAGATGGTATTACAGTCAGAGGACCCAGGAGCTTCATTCTGTCCTTAAAGTTCCCAAGGCCATCTGAAGGCTCATTCGCTCATATGTCTGTGGTTGCTGCTGGATGTTGGTTGGGGTGCTCACTTTCTCTCCGTGTGCTCTCTCTGTGTGGGCTAGTTTGAGCTTCCTCATAGCAAAATGATTGGCTTCTGCAGAGCAAGACTCCCTAAAACAGTGTGACCCAGGTGGAAGTGCCGTGTTTTCTATGACCTAGCCTTGGAAGGTGCATAACATCACTTCTGCTGAGCTCTATTGGTTGGGGCGATCCCAAGCCTGACCAGTTTCATGGAGAGGGAGCAAAGATCCCACTTCTCAGTGGGAGGAATGTTGAAGTCACATTGCATGAGAGGCATGTAACATGAGAGATATTGCTGCATCATATAGGAAAATACCATCTGCCACAGAGGCAAAGGAATCTTTTCAAAAATAGCTGAGGTTTTGATGCTCAAATCTTGATGTGGAATTCAAGTGGACTGGTTGCACCCTGTGAACAGCTTCTTTCTTCTACACTTCTTAAGCCTAAACAGCTTTAGGACCAAGACCAGGAGGTTCACACTTTTCTGTTTCACCTCTTACTGCTCAAACCCAAATCTTAAATCTTATTGTTGCAATGCAAGGAAAAGCCAACACGAGGGGGAATGGATCTAGGGAGGAAGAGAAAGAGCATTTTCTCAGGCTGGGTGCAGTGGCTCACATCTGTAATGCCAGCACTTTAGGAGGCCGAGGCAGGCAGATCACCTGAGGTCGGGAGTTCAAGACCAGCCTGGCCAACATGGCAAAACCCCGTCTCTACTAAAAATACAAAAATTAGCTGGGTGCAGTGGCAGGTGCCTTTAATCCCAGTTACCTGGGAGGCTGAGACAGAATTGCTTCAACCTGGGAGGTGGAGGTTGCAGTGAGCTGAGATTGCGCCACTGCACTCTGACCTGGATGACAGAGTAAGACTCCGTCTTGGGGGGGAAAAAAAAAGCATTTTCCCTAAGGCCTAGGGCATAATTGTCCCTAGCTGTCCTCCCCCTGCCCTTCCAGACCTAGACAGTGTCCCTGGGACTGGCTACTTGTAATTCTTGGGGTTCTCCAGAGGACAAAAGTCAAGATTTATGATAAGGAATTGGCTTTGGTGATTATGGATGCTGACAAGTCCCAAGGTCTTCAGGGTGAGTTGGCAAGCTGGAAACCTGGGAGAGCTGAAGAAGTGGCTCCAGTTCAAGTTCGAAGACCTGAGAACCAGGAGAGAACCGGGAGAGCCAATGGTGTAGCTCCAGTCTGAAGGCTGGAAAGCTCAAGGCCCAGGAGGAGCTGATGCTTGAGTTTGTGTCCAAAGATAGAGAAAGCTCCAGTTGGAAGGCAGTCTGGTAGGAGGAATCCTCTCTTAATTGGAGGAGGGTCACCCTTTTGGTTTATTCAGGCCCACCTGGCTGGATGAGCCCCACCCACTGTAGAGAGGGAAATCTGCAGTACTCAGTGTATAGATGTAAATGTTAATGTCATTAACAGAAACACCCAGAATAGTGTTTGATCAAATATCTGGGCACACCGTGGCCTAGCATGGCCCAGTCAAATTGACGCATAAAATTAGCTGTCACGTTACAGTGTAGGAGAGAGGGGTTAAAGAGCAGAAGCAAGCTGGCCACCATGAAAGAGAAGCTTTTCCATCCACTGAAAATTCTGCCCCTACAAACATCAGTCCAACCAGTGTCCTGAAATCCAACTAACCAGGCCGTGCCTCTTCCTCCTTACAGAATGAACATCCTTCTTCTTCACCCTTGATTCCCATTCATCCTTGTGGGGAGAGAAGGATGAAGAAAGAGGAGCTTTAGGTCTTCTGCAAGTCAGACTCCATTCATTCACTGAGTACTGAGCCAGGCCACCTGCCAGGCACTGGGACCATGAGATGAATCTTACCAGTCCCTGCCTTCAAGGAACTCACAACCTATAGAGGAAGAGCGGACAGGCTGGGAAGTAGGAGGAGATAGTGGCCTCCAGGCTCCTCCATCCAGACAGGTGATGTTACCCCACCATACTGCTCCAGAAACAGCAGTGGCTCCCCACAACACG